>NC_000012.12:76399521-76551037 GCF_000001405.40 Homo sapiens | reverse complement strand
TCCTGTCTCCTGCACTCCAGGCTGGAGTGCAGAATTCCTGAGCTCAAAGGATCCTCCTGCCTCACCTTCCCCAGTAGCTAGGACTACAGGTTTGTGCCACTGTGGCTGGCTACTTTATTTTTTTTGTACAGACAGGGTTTCGCTATTTTGCATAGGCTGAATTTGAACTCCTGCCTCCCAAAATGTTGGGATTACAGGCATGAACCCTGGTACCCAGCCTTAATGTTGATTCACCTTTCTCTTTATCAGCTTTAGAAATTACTTGAATTTTCCATTTATTACCTTGTGATTATTTCTTCTAAACCAGTAGCTGTACTTTTTATTGGCTAGACTAAGCTTGTCCAATCCCTGGCTGGTGAGCTGCGCACGGCCCAGGACAGTTTTGAATGCGGCCCAACACAAATTCATAAACTTTCTTAAAACATAAGGAGATTTTTTTGTTTTTTAAAGCTCATCAGCTATTGTTAGTGTTAGTGTATTTTATGGGTGGCCCAAGACAATTCTTCTCTTCCAGTGTGGTCCAGGGAAGCCAAATGATTGGACACCCCTGGCCTAAACAAATACACGTTTTTTCCCCTGTAATCTCAGCTGTCATGTCCACAGGTTGTCTCTAAATTATGAAAACCAATAAATAGTGTTGATACCATGACTGTGTAAGTATTATTTAATGCTAAGCCAGATAATGTGCTTAGATGATTATTCCTTTTCTGTCCCTGGGCTGCCAGAAGAAACATGTTGATAATATAGAGAATTAGTAGACTTTATTTATTTTATCAATTCTGACCATCAAATTAAAAAAAAATTTGGATATGACCAAAATCTAACTTTGGAATTAAAAAAGTTTTTGAATAGGACTTCCTGTTTTTCTTAGTGTCTTAAATTGCCCTCTTTTCTTGTACTATATGCCTCTATTATAGCCTCCCCTACACCCCAGCCCCCCCACACCCCAACTCTTCAGCATACTGCCTTTTGTGCTGCATTCTCTATTTATCTGTATTTGTCTGTAACTCTGCCTCCATTTGGACTCTTCTAGGTCTTTTCTTGTAACTTCCTTTCTCCTTACTCTTGAATTGGATCCATTCTGTTATACATATTTTTTTTTCCTTTTTTTTTTTTGCATCTGCTTGATCTGTTTATTGGAGTACATCTTCAAATAACTCTTTGAAAAAGAAGTATGTATGAGAGGCAAACTTTCCGAATTCTGTGTAAAAAAGTCTCCATTCTATTCTCACAAATGATTGATAATTTGGCTGGGTACAATATTGTTAGTTAGAAATAATTTTCCTTTAGAACCCTGAAAGGATTGCTTTGTTGTCTTCTAGCATCTAGGGATGCTGATTAGAAGTCATACATCAACGCCTGTAATCCCAGCACTTTGGGAGGCCGAGGCGGGTGGATCATGAGGTCAAGAGTTTGAGACCAGCCTGGCCAACATAGTGAAACCCTGTCTCTACTAAAAATTAGCTGGGCATGGTGGCAGGTGCCTGTAATCCCAGCTACTTAGGAGTCTGAGGCAGGAGAATCACTTGAACCTGGGAGGTGGACGTTGCAGTGAGCCGAGATCAAACTACTGCACTCTAGCCTGGGTGAGACTCCGTCTCAAAAGAAAAAAAGAAGGAGTCATGTATCAGTCTGATTCACTATCCTTTTAAGGTGATTTGTTCTTTATTCTGTCTGAAAACTTTTAGAATCCGTTCTTTTGTATCTTCTACAAAGTCATAATGAGGTGTATAGGTCATTTTTGTTTTGTTTGGCTGTTTGTCTAGATACTCAGTTGCTCTTACAGTCTGAATCAGATTATTTTTCCAATTCCAGGAAACTCTTCTCTGTCTTTAATAATTTCCTCCCTTCATCATGTTTTTTGCTTTTCAGTAGGCAGTTGCTTTCTGTCTTGATCTTCCTTCTCTCATCTTTTATATTTTGTGGGTTTTTTTTCCCCTTTAGTATTTTGGCTGATTTTCCTGGGGGTAATCTGTAAGTTTTGTTGTTCTCTTTTTCTTTTCCCACCATTTTTACACTATGTTGTATTGTCGTCTTGAGTCTTAGAATGTGCAAATTAGATTTTTTTAAAGATACCTTGTGTCTCCTTGTGTCTAATTTATCTCCTTTTCTCCTCCGGTCAGTTTTTATGTTTGTTTTTGTAATCATTCTTTTTTCATGCTCAGTTTTCCTTATGTGCCTGATAATTCTTGGTTGTCCATTCATGGTTAAGAAAGACAGACTAGGTTCCTGGTCACCCTCCCTCCCCTGTTCCTTGGACTGTTTTCCCTATTAGATTTTTTTTTCTTTGAGTAGGAATTCTGGCCAGAGCACTTTGTGGGGCAAGGTAGTACAGAGTAGGATCTGTCTCTTGGCAGATTGTTTTAGGGTAAAAGAGAGAGGAGCTAGCTGCTAGGCTATGTATGGGCCCTTTAAATGCTGGATGAGATGTGTTTACTCTGTGCCACACCTCCGCTTAGCTTTCCCTAGATAGTGGTTCACTTTCTTTAGGGAAAAGCTGACTTGTTTTTTTGCCTGGAGGTAAAATGTCAGTTGTTTAGAAACTGCTTGGAAATAGGGGATGGGAGATATAGCTGTCCCTTATAGTTAGTCAAGTAATACTCAGTTCTCTTATTTTTAACCCTACTATTTATTTCCACCCTCTGCTGTACCATTTACTTTATAATCATGCTTTCCTGGGGATCTTCTCAGACGTATTGGTTCCCATCCTTTCCATGTCACTCTTAAAGGTTATAATGAGGCTGTGGCTTTTTCCGCTTGTTATTTCTATCAATCTCACATATACTTTCATTTCCCAGAAATTTGTTGGATTTTCTTTCTAGCCTCAATTTTAATTTCTTTACTGTTACGATTTTCTTTCTTTTATGAGTTGTTTTTATTTCAGTGGAGTATCTGGAGTAACTGAAGGGAAAGTTTGTATTTAGCGCCCCATCTTTTATTAGAAGTCTTCTTCTAGCTTCATAAACAGAAGAAACAGAGCCTATTGAACTATTTTTTTGTTAATGCAGATTTATTCATAGAAATTATGATGATCATGATACAGTGTTAAAATACACTTATGTCCCTTCACTATTGATTTGTATAGTTGTTTGTGCCTTTATGCCGCTTGGTCCTAAAACTTGAACTCTGAATTCTTGCTTGCTTCATAGTTTTTGTTTCCCCTTTCGTTGTCCCCTACCCCAACTTGCATGTTGTTATGATTATCTTGCCATTTCTTGTTTGCTACTTGGAAACTGAATGAAACTGTTTAGAATTGTGTGTAAAATAGTGACTTTGCTCCAGGGAATGGCATTTTAGCTTTAAACACATGACCCTTGTGGCATTTTAATTATTTGGAAGTCTTTTGTTCTGTTTCTCAAGTGTATCTAGATGGGTGAGGGGTTATTCTTTTTCATTTACTTCTCTGCCTCATGTGTGATAGCTACTTTGGTTCAGTAGTTGATATTTTTTCCTCCATTGCTTTTCCTTGTCTTCTGTGTTATCTTTGGTACTTTAAATGTTGAGTTTAGATTGCCTGGCAAGTTCATTGGAAGCCTTAATTTTCATTTGTTCCTTTCATTTTCTACTCATAAAAATTTGCTAGCATTGTTTTATTCTTTTTTATTGTTTTGTATTTTTTGTTTTTTTGTTCCTAGCATTGTTTTAAACTTGTCTTTTACTTCTTTTCCCATACTCCTTTTCATAATCTTCAGGCTCCATATTGATTGAGCTTAGAATACTATTGTAAATTAACCTGGGTAAATAAATTTAAATACATTCATCTAATTTCCCTCTCTTCTGTGATATTTCTGCATTGGCAGAATGCAAATCTTGTTTAATTCTGCTCTTAATCTTGTTTAATCGTTTTCAATTCTTTTCTCATAAGATTTTGAAGTTCTTTCTTCTACAGCTATGGTTTTGACTATTGGAATGTGTGTCTTTTGTAATTGGAGTCGTAATTCTCCTGCAGTCAGAGGTTTTTACACGCCAGATTTAAAAAATGCTGACTACTTTGAAGTTGAAAATCCTGTCAGAGGGGTTGTGATTTGGAAGGCTTAAATCCCCAAATTTGGCCTGATTATATAAGGTATTATAGAACTTTCATAGTAAATACTGTACTTGTTTGAAATTTAAAGTAGCTTAGAAAATAATTGGCCCCTTTACATTTTTTTTAAATTTGCTCATTGTCCAGGAAGTCAAAGTTTTAAATATTTTCTAATGTAGTGGACTGATTACTGATGATCTTGTTACCTTTCTCTATATTCTGTGAAACTAGCTCTTGATTTTAGATCAAGAAACTTTTAGAATCAAGTGGTTATATACCTCATGCTTTATTTTTTACAGGTATTCTAAACATTTTCCCTCTCAGATATCAGTTGTCATGATTAATTTCTTGTTGACCGATTGAATCCTTTATTCCTTCTATTATGTTTATAATTTTGATACTTTTTTTTGCTATCCCTGAAATTTTAAATAGAATCTTCAAACATCAGATTGTACACCTTAAATATGTACAATTTTTTTATATGTCAGCAATACCTTAATAATGCTGCTAGAAAATAGAATCTTCAGCATTATATAGATAATACTTTGAATGTTTTATAATATTTGATTATTTGGGAAATGATGGCTCTTATTATTTTCCCAAGAATTTATGATTAGGTTGTAGGAATTTAAAAAAATACCCTGTCATTACTGAGGGAAGATTTCTCTGTAAAAACAGAGATCCATTTAAGAGGTTGATTGTTTAACATAAATTTAACATGCATTTTAACTAGCAAGATTTTGTTTATTTGGTTATTTTGGAGGAGCTTCTTCATAATTCATTAATAGAGGTTAATAGTAAACAGTAGAAATTAGCATTTCCTTGACATTTTGATTATGCAGAAAATATAGATGTTTCTTGCTATAAGCAGGGAATTGGTTCCAGGACCCCCAACGTAACACAAAATCCGTGCATAGAAGTCCCGTAGCTGGCCCTGCGGAACCTGCGTATTGTAAATGTCAGCCCTCGACATGTGTGGTTTTAACATCTTACGAATCCAGTGTTTTCAGTCCTTGTTTGGCTGAAAAAAATCCGTGTATAAGTGGACCCATGCAGTTCAAACTCTTGTCATTCGAGGGTCAACTCTGTATGTTTTTAAAAATAATCACTAAGAATTTTTTCCTTGTCACGTTGATCAGAGTCTTTAGGAACAGGCTTTCAATATAAGAGTTAGCTCCATAGTTTCTCATTTTTTGGTAGTTATTCTTAATTCACAAATTATGTTGGTTTTCACAGTTCCTGTTTGAATAGGCATAGAGAAGTGTAATTAAGTGTCTTGGTTACTTACATTGTAAATTAGAGATGATGACTCCTCTGGTTGTGGTAATTTATACTTAGAATTCAAAACCCAGAAGCATCCTGGGCAGAGTTAGGCACTCAGATGCTCATTTTTGTTTCATGCCCAAGATAGCCATTCTTAGTCTGTATTGAAATATGAATAAATTTCTTTTGGGATTGAATATCAGTAATAAAATTCCTTGAGACTGTCTTGAATTAACTGTAGATCTTGCATTTCAAGCTTTGATCCTTAGTAATGAACCGTCAGCTTAAGTATGGGGATGATTTTTTACTTGTAGAAAACTGGGCAAACCTTTCTGGTTTATTATAACCAGATATCATACTTAATAAATGAGAAATTCATTAATTTTTTCCTAGTATCTTAGAACAGTGTTCATATTTTTCTTAGAAAATAACCTTTCAAGAAAATGGTCAAAATTTACATAGAATCAGGGTAGTTTTAGCTGTAACTTAAAATATCTAACTTTAAAAACAGACATTTAGTGTATAGGACTAAATTATTAATATATGGTTGCCAGTATCATATTTGCAAGCATTATCTTTAAGAGGCCTTGAGTTACTCTTTGAGACACCCTTGTCACAATGCGACCTAGTATCACAAATGCTGACTGATTTAGAGAACAGATGCACTGGGAAAATAAACCTGCAAGAAGTGTTATCTTTCCTAGTAAGTAACTGTGTGACCTTGGCAAACCACTTACTCTCTCTGGGTCCTAGTAAAATGGAGAGTTTGGAACCAATGGCCTTTTAGATTCTTTAGAGAGGCTAAAATTCCAATCAGGTAGTATATTATGTAATCCTTGTAATAGCTCTGAAATAAATAGATGGTATTCTAACTGTTTTACAGATGGAATTATTCCTGTTTTTTTTTTTTAGACTCAGTGTTTAAGTAACATGTTCAGTCATGTTGCTGCTAAGGAGCTAAGTGAGAAGTTGAACCTTCGCCTATTTCACTCTATAGCTGTTAAGTTCTTTTAGTATAACATACTGCCACCCAAGCCATGTTGTTTATATTAGACCATCGGATCTTATTCTTAAAATTTGTTACATTTCTTAATCTGAAGTTTATAATAAATGTGCTTTTGCTTTATAGCATGCGTCATTCAGGAAAATCAGAAGTCAGGTATCAGGCATGTCTATGAGTTGTGCCAAAGTAGAAATATGACCAGTTTTAAAATTATTATTCTAGAACTTATGTGTTTCTCTAAGAGATGGTCAGTGTGTTCAAAGTTACCTTATTTCAATAATATCACTATTGTTCAACAAACACTTTTGGAATAATGCATTTGACATTTCTTTACTGTCTTTCACCTCATTCTTTTAACCTACATTCTGTGGTGACAAATTATATCTTTTGAGAATGGATTTGGTATTTGGTATTTGGAAAAGGTGGCAAGTCTTTCTGAACCAAGTCTCACACATAAAATTAAGGATCAAAATGAAGAAGGCCATTTTTAGTATAAATAAGCAGTGACCGCAGGGGTGAAACTGTTTCTTCTTTTGTCATTTATGAGGTAGCTAAGAAAGTGGTTAGAAAAGAGGAGTTCCAAAATTGTTTTGTGGGATGGCAACTTGAAACTAGTCTCTGAAAGTGACTACTCTGAATGGAGATGACCTTTATTTGTATGTTAATTCTGCTGTATTAAAGTTATATCCTGAGTGTTACACCTGTTCTGTTTCCCACGTGTTGGTGCTACTGTGATTTGGCACTGTGCTGTAGAGAAAAGTGTTGGCGAATGAATTATTCTTCGTATGTTAAAGAAGATCAAAATCTATAGAACAATATTTACATAGATTTGAATGGTAATTTAATTCTGGTTTATATGAATATTTATTATGTAATTTGTGGTTATCCCTAGCTAGGTTTAATTCTGGGCAGCTACCCTGTCAGAGTATACTCTTTGATGCAGACTTACATGTAAGTTAAACTTTTTGTGAATAATTATCTTAGCTTATTTAATTATTAGTTGTATTAATAGTTATGTAGTTTGTGGTTATCCATGGCTAAGTTTAATTCCAGGCAGCTACCCCATTGGAGTGCACTCTTTGATGCAGGCTTATATCTAAGTTAAATTTTTTTGCAAAAATTATCTTAGCATTATATGTGACTGAATGGCTTTTGGATATCAGTGCTATACTTGGTGTAGATAATAAACTTGTGTGGGGAGTGGTAGAAAATCGACAGTAAACTCCTAATTGCACAATTCACTATGTAATTACCATTGTGGGAAGTGCTGAGAGGAAGAAATATATATGTAATATGTATGATAACATATTTATATATCTTGTTGCAGAGGAGCTTGTGATAGGGAGATTTCATTTTCTATTTTGAAGGTATTATTTTTCTTGTTTTAAACTCCCAGATGGTGGACTTTAATGAAGTGTCCTCATTTGTAAAAATTAAAGGATACTGAAAAATGCCTCTAGGACCTTTTTAATAATACTTTCCCCTTTGAGGTTCCAGAATAATTTAATGTTACAAGACCATTAATTCAATAGATTTCAGTGCAAGTTACTATGTAAGCGGCTGAAAATTCAGTAGGAGCTAGGCAGATGTGCTTGCTGACCTCTTCGAGCTTTTGTATGGGAAGTGGTAGAAGATCGACAGTAAACTCCTAATTGCACAATTCACTATGTAATTACCATTGTGGGAAGTGCTGAGAGGAAGAAATATAGGGCAATATAAGAATATGCACACCTAGTCGGGGAGGGGAGCCAAAGAAGGTGATGATCTGAAGGAGAAAAGAATATTTCTCGCAGAACATCTTGTTTAAAGATTTTGGAAGATCAAGGAACTTGGGCTTTGCTAAGAACTGAAAGAGTTCACTGTGACTGGAGTGTTTTAAAAAATATGAGAAAGATAACATTGTGGTATAGGAGGTAGGGACTGGATCATGTGAGGCCTGAGACCATGTTAAGGATTTTGCTTTTTGTCTTCAAGTCTCTTGAAAACTATTAGGGAATTTTAAACAAAGGAGTGAAATGGTCAGGTTTAGATTGATCTCTCTGGATGCTAAGTGAGTAGTGGTTTGGAGGGTGATGAGGGTAGATGCTGGGAGACAGTTTAGAGTACCTGTGGTTCATCCAAGGGGAGAATCCTGTAGGCCAGTGGTTCTAAAAGTACATCACTTGGGAACTTAGTAGAAATGCAGATTATTGGACTCCACCCCAGACCTGTAGAATCAGACACTTTGGGGGTGGGTGTCAGAAATCTGTTTTGGAGCAAGCCCTCCAGATGATTGTGATGCATCCTAAAGTTTTTAAAACTCTGCTCTAGGTCATTAGATATATGGTTTTTGAATGCAAGAGAAAGTTCTAGACTGGTGATATGGACAGTACCTGCACTGAAGGTGGTAGTGGAGAGTGTGATGAAGAGAAGCATCTCTACTAGAATGAAACCCTGAGATAGAGGGAGAGCTAGTGAAAGAGTCAAAGGATTGGTTAAAGAGACAGAAGAACTAAAAGTACTGGAGAGTCTTTAAAGGGAGGGAGTGGTGAAGTAAGCATTATGCTTTATTTTTTTATGTTTATTTTTATTTTTTTGAGATGGAGTTTCGCTCTTGTTTCCCAGGCTGGGGTGCAATGGCATGATCTTGGCTCACCACAACCTCTGCCTTCTGGGTTCAAGCGATTCTCCTGCCTCAGCCTCCCGTGTAGCTGGGATTACAGGCATGTGCCACCACGCCTGGCTAATTTTGTATTTTTAGTAGAAACAGGGTTTCTCCAGGTTGGCCAGGTGGGTCTCGAACTCCCAACCTCAGGTGATCCTCCCGCCTTGGCCTCCCAAAGTGCTGGGATTGCAGGCGTGAGCCACTGCACCCGGCCTACTTTTATTTATTTTTATTTATTTTTATTTTTTGAGACAGAGTCTTGTCATGTTGCCCAGGCTGGAGTGCAGTGGCACGATCTCAGCTCACTGCAGCCTCCACCTCCCGGGTTCAAACAATTCTCCCTGCCTCAGCCTCTCGAATAGCTGGGATTACAGGCACCCACCACCAAGCCTGGCTAATTTTTGTATTTTTAGTAGAGACAGGGTTTCGCCATGTTGGCCAGGTTGGTCTTGAACTCCTGACCTCAGGTGATCTGCCCACCTTGGTATCCCAAAGTGCTGGGATTACAGGTGTGAGCCACCTCAACTGGCCTATGGCCTATTTTTAATGTGGTAAAAACTGTTGAAGCAGTATGCATTTACATCTAAATAATTTTTATTATTTAATTATTATTATTATTATTTTTTGAGACAGTCTTGCTCTGTGTCACCCAGGCTGGAGTGCAGTGGCACAATGTCGACTCACCGCAACCTCTGCCTCCTGGGTTCAAGCGATTCTTGTGCCTCAGCCTCTTGAGTAGCCTGGATTACAGACGTGCACCACCACACCTGACTAATTTTTGTGTTTTTAGTGGAGATGGGGTTCACAGTATTGGCCAGGCTGGTCTCAAACTGCTGGCCTTATGTGATCCACCTGCCTCGGCCTCCTAAAGTGCTGGGATTACAGACATGAGCCACCGCGCCTGACCACATCTAAATAATTTTTAAATTGCAAATACTTATTTATTACAAATACTTTCTATTGCTACTGTAGATTTACCATTATGGTGTAAGGAATTGTGCCATCTTCTTGCGTTATGTGTCTTAGAGAAGCTGGGGCACTAGGGATAGTAGCCGTTGGTATGAAAGATCAGGAGCTCTGCTCTTTTTGGTCTACCCTGAGATTATTTGCTAGCTGTGTTTTCTTTTTCTGTTACTACTATGTATCTAAAGGAAAAATGTTTTTAAATGCATTTTATAATTCAGACTTTTACTTTTCTTGATTGCTGTAACTTGTTAGAATAATTCTAATATGTTAAGGTTTTGCTCTTCTTAAGGGAAGACCACATTTGATGTGAAAAGTAATTTCAAGGTTAATCTCAATTACAAATAATATATTTGGAGTTGTGTGCATGTGTATGTGTGTGTGAGAGAGACTTAAGCCATTTTGGGATAATTTTCTGCTTGAAATGTGTTTGCTTGTCTGAAGTTTTTTTTTTTTTAAAGAAAAAATATGATTATTATATCAATGTGTGCTCAATATAAATTCCAGCAGCTATAAAAACTCATTAAGTTGGCTTCTGTTGCCACCACTTTATGTCTGAAATAGCCCACCTTGTTAGCAGTTTGGTGTTATTCTTCTAGATTTCTCTCTCTGTACACACACACACACACACACACACACACACACACACACACGACTATATAATTTTTTTAAAAACAGAACTCGTATTCTATTGTAATGTTGTTTTGCAGTTTTTCTACCAATCAATACATCTTAAATCTAAAAGTCAGATTCCTAATAATTCCTCCCATTGATTGCGTGTATTTTATTCTTACAACCTTAGACTTAGACTCAAGAGACCTTGGTTCTGGTCTCTTGCCCTGGGATCTTGGGCAAGTAGTCACTTAACCCTTTTGTGTTCATTTTGTGATCTCTAAAATTTATGGTTATTGAGAGGTTGACTTGAAGTGTCTTGATAGCTCTAGAATGCTGTTAAGGAATGCCAGGATTTCAAAGTGCAGATGTTTTCTAGAATTTTATATGAAAAGTAATGATCTCAATCTAGCTGTGAACACTTAAGGGGATAAGCTTTGCCAAGTTAAAAACACAATGATCGGGGGAGGAAGGATGTTAGAAACAAGATTCAAAAAGATGATTTCTTATCATTTACTGGTATACTCAGCAGGCATGCCTACTGCTTTTAAGATAACAATGACCTAAAAAAAGAAGCTTCCTTGAAGCCGACTGTTTTCTGACTGAAAATCCAGACTACTTTTTTAGGGGATGTGGGATGTGTATGGGTCTATGTTTGGTTGTACCCGTTGACTGCTCATGGGAAGTTAGACAAATGGCACTTACGGCCTGCTCAGCATTCTTTGAGGGATCGTGCTATCTTCTTGTATAAGTGTCTTAGAAAAGCCGGAGCACTAGGGATAGTAGCCATTGGTATGAGACCAGGAGCTGTGCTCTTCACTCTTCGGCTTTTTATCGTGAGATTATTTGCTAACTAAAGTTTTCATGAAAAATCTTAGGAGGGAAAAGCAGTCTTTGAAGAGTGTTTGGGTAAAGGTGTTCATTTTTTGAATTAACATTGCTACATTATTAATATTACGTTGATTGAAAGATGGCTTTTGTTTTCTTGCTTTCAGTGTCTTAAGTTGCTGATGTTATTTTGTTTTAGTTTTTCATTTGTATTTCCTTTTATTTTTATCTGTTTTTATCTTTGTCCATAGTCTTCTTAGTACATTGACATTTTGTACACTCTTATTCTTAAACTTTGGCATTTATTTTTCTAATATTTTCTTGTTACCTTTACATATGTTTAAATTTCTTTGCCCTTTTTGACTTTTTGCTTAAACACTTAAAAATTTTACTTATTTTTTCTGCATAGGGTTTTATTAAAACAGAGACATAAATACGCATAGAGAAGAATATTGAGAAAATGAATGACTCCAACAATGGCTTCCCTAGGCAGAGCTTTAATTTAAATTTACTTTTAAAAAAGTTGATATCTGTCTTTTTTTTTTCTCTGTGTGGCTGTTGGGTGGCATGGTTTTAAGGTAGGTGGTTCAAAATATACTTCCTACCCTAAGTAAGAGATTCAGGATACTTACCCTCCCCCTCCCCCCCCCCAGTTATTTAATAGCAGGCTCTTAGGACTTCTCATTCCTTTTTTATTCCTTTCAATTTTGAACTTCATCCTCGAAGTTCTAATCTTTTTTCTTTTTTTCTTTTTTTTTGAGATGGAGTCTTGGTGTGTCACCCAGGCTGGAGTGCAGTGTTGTGATCTTGGCTCACTGCAGCCTCTGCCTCCCAGGTTCAGCCTCCTGCCTCAGCCTCCCGAGTAGCTGGGACTACAGACATGTGCCACCACAGCCGGCTAATGTTTGTATTTTTAGTAGAGATGGGATTTCACCGTGTTGGCCAGGCTGGTCTCAAACTCCTGACCTCTAGTGATCTGCCTGCCTTGGCCTCCCAAAGTGCTGGGATTACAGGTGTGAGCCACTGCACTGGGTCTCAAAGTTCTGAATAATATAGATGTCCCATAGACAAATTTCTTACCTTTAAATAAGTTTGTTTACAATGATAAAGCCTTTGAACTATACTTAAAGGGCTTGCTCTCATGTTGCCTGTCATCCCTTTAATCATTCTTACAGGTGTTTGATTTAAAATATTTCATAATCCTCATTTAAAAATAATCTATAGCTGTGTCACATTCCTAAAATCTTCTTTCAACAAAAAAACAAAAGTTAGTGACAGGTCTTGACTAGTGTTTTATTGCTAATCTTATTATTAAGAATTGTTTTCCAATTTGTGTTTCTTAAAATAGGAATAAATATATACTTTTAGTGAATATATAGTTAGTGGTTTAAAAAGTATTTAATAGTGTAAAATACTATCATGAAAAGAAAAATTATTCATGATTCTGAGCAATATAACACATCAAATTTTTATGTGTTTGTAAATATTTTAGTGACTACATTGATGTATAATATATGGGTTCAAAAAGCAAAAGTCGTTAAGGTTATTCTTTAACCTCTACATTCTCTACTCTGAGTCAAGGTCTCTAATTGGTATGGCCTTGATGTAGATGGAGCAGATAAAACCTTGTTAGTTAGCTGACTGCCACTATATAACAGCCTTTCTCAATAAAGAGACTTAAATTAATTTAACCCTGTAACTTTGTTGTCCTCAGCAATCTCCATTGGTGCTACTGCGTTTAAAGGTCAGTATTACTGTCTTTATTTATTTTATTTTATTTATTTATTTTTTAGACATGGAGTCTTGCTCTGTTGCCCAGGCTGGAGTGCAGTGGCACGATCTCAGCTCACTGCAACCTCTGCTTCCTGGGATCAAGTGATTCTCATGCCTCAGCCTCCTGAGTAGCTGGGATTACAGGCACCCACCACCATGCCCAGCTAATTTTTCTATCTTTAGTGGAGACGGGGTTTTACCATGTTAACCAGGCTGGTCTTGAACTCCTGACCTTAAGTTATCCACCTGCCTCAGCCTCCCAAAGTGTTGGGATTACAGGTGTGAGCCACCGTGCCTGGCCTGTTGTCCTTTAATATTTTATTTCTCATTGTGAATCTCTCTCATCGTACATTTCTGTAGATTTCTCTCATTCAGAGAACTTAATTTGCTCAAGTTATTACTATAACTATTATCTTTGTTATCTCTTCTCAGTGATAAGACATTGAAAATAATACTTTTCTGTATATGAAACACTGTTCTATAAGCAAAATCTTAAGATTTAAGTTAGTTTGCACATCATAACAGTGGTAACCCTGCATTCTTTAATTAAACACGTTTAAATGTATAAATGTAAAAACAGTTTAAAGTTATAAATGCCCAGGAATCCTGATCTTGGTCATACTATGTCTGTTGAAATACAATTTTAGTGTCTTGATACCTTTTAAGTAGTATGCTATGAAATAATTCTTGTTGTAGCTGATTAGTTACTTGGGCAGATTTTCTTGTATCTTATTTTCCAAATACCAGTCATTTATAGAAATCAGACTTTGCAAAATGTAAAGGCTTTCATAGTTTCAGAAGCACAGGGACAGCTGCACAGCAAGTCCATATGTTGCTTAGCTATAATTATATTTTAATAATTATAATTTTTTTTTCTTTTGGGAAGAACTGTGGCTAACCTCCAAGAGACTGAAGCTGGTAATTGTAAGCATTCTCATTTTTTAAACACAAAGATAGAACTTTTTATTTTTCTCTGTTTTAAATGGTTGAATATATTTATCATGTATCATAGCATCCACTGGATGAAGTTACATTTCTGGGTCCTACTGTAACATTTAAATGAGTGTTCGCGTCAGATGGGAAGATTACTCGTTTTTTTTTTTTTTTTTTTGATACTCCTATATATGGATTTGCTGCCACAGGCATGCTAATTTTGCCATCTCATACATATGACTTGCTCCTTTCCGCCTCCGTTCTTCTGCACATTACCATTCCCTCCACCTGTAGGTCTCTCCTTCCTTTCCACCCATTTCCTTTTCTCTTTTCAAAAGTGGCATCTTAAGATAATTTCCTCTAGAAATTCTTTCAGGATTTATTCCATGTTACTTTTACTTATTTTCTTTGCTTCACCTTAACACTTACCATGGGTAGATACAAATTCAACTAATATGAATTGTGTTGCTGTAATTTACCAGCATACATAGTGTTAAGTAGTACAGTGATAAGATTAACTATCTCATCTATTTTTTACAGCTATCCTGTGAGTTATTCCCATTTTTACAGACAAAATTAATTATCTCAGTTACACTCTTGGTTTTAGTTGGGCTTGATTTTTTTTTTGGTATTTTTAGTATTTAATATTTAGTATTTTAGTATTTAGTATTTGGTATTTTTAGTTTCACCATGTTGGCCAGGCAGGTCTCTAACTTTTGACCTCAGGTGATCTGCCCGACTCGCCTTCCCAAAGCGCTAGGATTACAAGTGTGAGCCACCACACCAGGCCTAGTTGTGCTAGATTTTTTACATTTTTTCTGATTTTAAACATTGTTACTTAAACAGCATCATTTTGCCTTTCGCTACTTCTGTAGTCTTTCCTGCTTTCCACCTCACACCCCCCCAATATCACTTAAAAAAAATACTAAAAAAAACCCAAACTACTTTATTCAGGTATAATTTACACCTGAATAAAATGAAACCATTTTAAGTACATAGTTTGATTCATTTTGACAGATGTATACACCCATGTTACTGCTACCACAATAGATACAGATATAGAACTTTCCATCAGTCCCCAAAATTCTCTTGTGCCCTTTGAACTTAATCTTTCCCTTTCCTACTCTATGTCAGACAATGACTGATTCGGGTTCTGTTACTGTGGATTGCTTTTGTCTGTTCTAAGATTTCATATGAACGGAATCATAGAGTATGTACTCTTGTCTGGTTTATTTTGCCCTGCATATTTTTGAGATTATTCCTTTTTATTTTGGGATAGTATTCCATGGTATAGGAATACTATTACAGTATTGTAATGAATATCCAATTTGTTTATCCATTCACCTTTTGATAGACATTTGACTTGTTTGTAATTTTCGGTTATTGTAAATGAAGCTACTGTGAACATCCATGTACAAATTTTTGAGTGGACATGTTTCCATTTTTCTTTGGTAAATACTTAAGAGTAGCTGTACCATTTTGCATCTCACCAGCAATGTATGAGAGTTCCAGTTGCTCCCCTTCTCATCAACACTTACATTTTCAGTTAAAAAAATTTAATTAACATTCTAGTGGTTGTGTAATAGTATCTCATTGTGGTTTTTCATTTGCGTTTCGCTGATGACTGTGGTAGTAAGCATCTTTTCTTGGATTTATTAGCCATTTGTATTTTTTTTTGTAAATTGTTTAAATCTTTTATTCATTTAAAAAATTGTTTTCTTATTGATTTCTTATTGAAGGTTCTTTATATAGTCAGAATCTGAGTCATTTGTCTAATATATGTGTTGTGCATATTTTCTAACAGTTTATGTCTTGCCTTTTTTAAAAACTTTTTAAAGAGAAGTAATTTAATTTTTTGAAATTTAGCATATCTGTTTTCTTTCATGGTTTATATTTTTTGCATATCTTAAGAATTTTTTTGTCTACAAATTTTTATTTTCCCATTTTTATTCTAGAAGTTTTATAATGTTGGCTTTTGTATTTAGATTTGTGATTCATTTTGAGTTAATTTTTGTTTAGTATAAAAGCCAGGCTGTTTTGGTTGTTCTTGTTGTTTTTAATGAATATCCAGTTTTTACTGAAAGTATTTTCTTTTTCCCAGTGGGTTTCCTTGGCAGTTTTGTTGAAAATTAATTGACTCTGTTTATGGGTCCATTTCTAGACTCCTTATTCTATTCCATTGATATATGTGCGGTATGCTAGTACCACATTATTTTGAATGTTTTTGTAAGTTTTGAAGGTAGTGTAAATCTTCCAAACCAACATCATCTCGAAAATAGTAAAAAAACTTTGCATAGTTTACTCTCTTGACCTCATTGCTTGTGTGTATGTGTTGCTGATTTTTGTTTTTCATTTGTTTCTTTTTGTGAGTTTCTGCTTTCCAAGATGTTGCCACCACCAGGGACTTCCTGCTTGTTATTTTCCAATGCAGATATTGTATATATTAAGGAAGAAGCAAAGTACTTTCAGCTAGTCGGAAGGAATTAGACAGCAATTGGTATTCTTCTTTAGCCCGTTATTGGTAGTAAGCAACTCTAGATTCCAATAGTATATGATTTTTGACAAGGTCAGTAAATTGGGGTTGCAGCAACAAAAGTGTGTACCAGAAGCCCTGTGTTTAAATACCACGTCTGATACTTGACAGGAAATGAAATTGTAACACTTTTCAATTTAAAATTGTGTTTCTTTTCCTTCTTCGCCCATTCTTTAACAGAAACATTCCTATCCTTGCCTGAAGCAGTCTTTTGCAGGAACATTTGAGGTACTGTAATGGCAGTTGCCAAACTATAGTGTGTGTTAATTGGGAACATGTTGAATTGAAGAAAAATGTTAGATAAAAATTGCATTTAATTTTGTTTCTGACTACATATAAATGGACATTTAAAAAATCTCATTAATGAATACAGTTCCTGGTTTCAAAATAGCACTCAGGTATTTTCCCCTTCTTAAACCACTTTAGTTTACAGTAAAAATATTAGGAGAAAAGGTAAAATGTAGCATATTCAATTATAATATTGATTATATATGAATGTTTTATTTCACGTGTATTTTTGGTCTTTCCGATTAAATCGTGTGCTTTCCTAGATAGAGATTTTATCTTCTGTTTATTTTGCCTCATTTCTCACCTACTGGAAATGACTATAGATGTTGGTTATGCATTTGAATTAACTTGTTTTGATGAATAGTAAGTCCCAGGCTATAGTAGGAATATAGATGTATTTTTTTTCCTACTGAAATCACATTTGTCCTTTGAAAGACATTTCTAAGCTTTGCACTTGATAACAGCTTAGAATTTTGGAAAACCGGTAGGTAATGAGGTGGAGATGAGGTTAATAATCTCATTTC
Source organism: Homo sapiens (assembly GCF_000001405.40). Classification (NCBI taxonomy): domain Eukaryota; kingdom Metazoa; phylum Chordata; class Mammalia; order Primates; family Hominidae; genus Homo; species Homo sapiens. The sequence continues at coordinate 76,533,649 of NC_000012.12, read as the reverse complement.
TGAGCGCTTGAGTTTCTCGCCTTTAAGTTGTTGATATAGACTGATCGTTGTTAAGTGCTTTTGGAGGGCTGGTCATCACTTGTTTGTGTCTGCTCCTGTGTTTGCCTCATAAAGACTTCAGTGGATTGCAAGATCAGTCAGACAAATGGAAACATCAGTCAGCTGCTCAAATAGATATTTTTAGAAATGTTTTTCTTCTTAGTCCTAATCATGAAGTTTACCGCAAATCCTTCATTTGATAGTGGGTAAGAGGAAATGAAGCAGGAGCTCCAGAGAAGGCACCTTGAGTAGTAGGATCCAAATGAAAATTGAAGAAGAGATTACATTCCTGAGTAAACATTTTTTTCTCCTTATGATTATTATCAAAACCTGGTCTTAAAAAAAACCTGGTTCTTGCATATGGTTATAGGATAGGTCTTATGTAATGGAGTTTAAAAACCTAGCAAGAAACACATAAATGAATACTATGCTATTGTATTTTTTTCTTATGATAGGATATATGGTGTTTTAAAATGTTCTATGTCTGACATTGATTTTACTTTTGTAAATTCATTTAAAAATATTTTGAAGTTAATTTTTATTTTATTTCCTTATTCAAAGGTAGACTATTTTGGTTACAAATGTGTTAAATAGTACCTATATCAATTTAGGGTTTTTCGGTTCAAGTAATAGAAAGGTTTGGGTAACTTAAATGATTTACTAGGATGATAAGCTCATTTTCTTCCAAGATGAAAAATGGAGTTTTAGAAATAGTAGACATTTGAACAGCTTTAGGGATCTAGAGAGCAGAAAGCAACAATCTTTGTGGAGCCCCCATTAGGATAGTTTTTTTTGTGATTGTTTTTCATTCACGTGATCACTCTGCTTGTGATTCACATTTATCAGAGAGAGAGAGACAGGCATGGACTGATTGGTCTGGCTCTTTTTTTTTTTGTCCACTCCTTTTGCTAGGAGAGCGTGGAGTACCAAGATTGCATATGTTGGAGGAGGGATGTTCCTTTCCCAAAAGAAGATCAAGGTGGATGTTAACAGAGGAAGGGGAAATGGGTCCGGACAGGTTAAAACAAAAATCCAATACTGCCGTAGTTTCTAGGTGGATATAACATTTTTAGAAATCTTATAATACAATATTAACTTCATTGGCTGAACCCAAGCCTTTCAGCCTTTATAGATTTGCCATGATCCTAATACATATAAGCATTCATTGTATTCATTATTAATTACTTCATAGATTCAGTGTGTGACGAAGGGAGATGATTTTTAACAAATAATAAAGTGAAATGATCTAGTTTTGCTATGTTGTTTGAGCAACATCAAATAGTTTTGCTTAAAATAGATAATTTATAGTGATTTTTTTTCACTATGGTATTTTCTTAAATATATTAAGTGCTTTTCATTTTCTGATACCACCTAGTTTAATTGGGGGTGAATATCAGAGAAATTAGAATGTTATTTCAGCTGAAGGAGTACAGTTTTTTTTTCTCTTCTTAGAGAATATAGTGCCTCAGATACAGTCCACAACAAAAATTTTTGTTTAGAAAAGAAAAATTTTAAGGAACAGATTTGTCAATTTCTGTGTATTTTTTGGTCAGTTTTTTTTTTTTTTTTTTTTTGAGAAGGAGTCTTGCTCTCTTGCCCAGGCTGGAGTGCAGTGGCGCGATCTCGGCTCACTGCAAGCTCCGCCTCCTGGGTTCACGCCATTCTCCTGCCTCAGCCGCCTGAGTAGCTGGGACTACAGGTGCCCACCACCATGCCTGGCTAATTTTTTGTATATTTAGTAGAGATGGGGTTTCACCGTGTTAGCCAGGATGGTCTCGATCTCCTGACCTCGTGATCTGCCTGCCTCGGCTTCCCAAAGTGCTGGGATTACAGGCGTGAGCCACCGCACCCGGCCTTTTGGTCAGTTTTTTTTAGTGCGCAGTACTTAATTACTATACCTTCAAAACTAAACAATTACTATACCTTCAAGACTACTGGATTTGATTTTAAGTTTTACTACATGGCCTGTTAATTCAGTTATCTCTCCCCCAACCCACACATGTTGAAGGCTTTCAATTGTTTCCTGTTTGTATATACACAGTACTCTTCACATATTGTCACAGTTTGATACATCTTATTAATATTTTCCTGTCTCCTCATTCTCCATTTCTTAAAATCCATGTGGGTTTGCCAAAAAGGTGCCTGTAGAAATGTACAAGCAATTGGTCTGAAGGGACTAGTTTTTATAACCTGAGTTGGACCTAACTTGAATGATGGAGGGAATACTTTATTACCATTGAATTACTGAAAGTCAAATTTAGATTGCTGATCTGCTTGGAAGCTAACTAAGAAAAGGAGAATGGTGTCACTTAAGTAACACAACTTGTTTTTCTTTGTGCTTGTTTTATGATGCTAAGTGAGTGATAAAAGGTGATACAATGACTTTAAAAAGCACTTCTGGTGGTTTTATAAGGCAATTTTCCCTGCTCTTGCTCACTCTTCTCTGTCCTGCCACCATGTGAAGAAGGTCCCTGCTTCCCCTTTGCCTTCTGCCATGATTGTAAGTTTCCTGAGGCCTTCTCAGCCATGTGGAACTGTGAGTCAGTTAAACCTCTTTTTATAAATCACCCAGTCTCGGGCAGTTGTTTATAGCAGTGTGAGAATGGACTAACACAATGGTACTATAACATTTAATAAAAATAATAGGGATGGCAATTTATTATGTCTATAGTTGGGTTCATTTATGTAGTTCATTGATGAGAACTTATGTTGTTTCTGGAAGTGGAAGATCTTCAGTCTAATACTCCTTTGTTAGTTATGTCTTCAGGGAAGTGAATTAAGCCTTCATGCCTTTATTGCTTTATTATACTATAAAGAGTCTGTTTGCTTGATGATAAAGTTAGCTCCTTATCTCTGCCAGTCCACAATTCTTAAGTGTCTAAGGAGCACCTACTGTGATAGGCACCTCCTGTGATAGGCACTCTTCTAGGTGTTGGGAATACCTCACTGAACAAAACAAACTGCTTATGGAGCGCTTCTATTTGGGGATATAATATACTATACTTACATGTGGGGATATAAACAAATGTGTGTGTCAGGTGTTAAGTGTCTTGGAAAAAAAAGTAGTTGGTAAAAAGATGAATAAAAGAATGGGAGGAGGCAAGTTGCTATTTTGCTATTTGTAGCTAGGATGGTCAGGGAAGATCTATTTGATAAAATGGCATTTAAACAAAGAAACCTGCAAGAAGTGAGAGAGTGAACCATAAGGAAGAGTGTTTTAGGCAAAGAACAGCAGATACAAAAACCTTGTGGTGGCTGGGTGTGGTGGCTCACAGCTGTAATCCTAGGACTTTGGATGGCTGAGGAGGGAGGATTGCTTGAGGCCAGGAGTTCAAAACCAGCCTTGGCAACATAGTGAGACTTTTCTACAAAAAAAAAAAAAAAAAAAAAGCCAGGCCCGGTGGCACGTGCCTATAGTTCTTACTACTTGGGAGGCTGAGTAAGGCTGAGGATCCCTTGTTTCCAATAGTTTGAGATTATAGTGAACTATGATCTTGCCACCACACTCCTGACTGGGCAACAGAATGAGACCCTGTGTCTAAAAAGAAAAGAAAAAAAATGTGGAAATCTGCTTGACATGTTAAAGGAATATCATATCATAGAGGCTTTTGTGGATGGTGCAGAATGAGCAATCAGCATGTTACTTCACTACTCTGAGCCTTAGTGTCTTCATTTTGAAAATGGGGCTATAGTGAAAAATTACTTGCTTTATAGGGTTTATGTGATGACTACATTATGTAATAATGCATTTAAAGCAACTAGTAATGTGTCTTCGAGTATAAAGTGGATCATGTTCCTGCCTTGCATAGGCTTTTCATTGGTTTCCTCTTTCACAGTGAATAAAATCCAGACTCTACTGTCTCTAGAGCCTTATCTCAGATAGTTCTCCTCATTGCTTACTATGCTTTAGCCATGCTGGCCTTTGAATAATGAGCCTATTCTTATCTCGAGTCTTCTTCCCCCACTAGCTTCTTCAGTTTTTCACAGAAAGGGTTTCAACGATGTATTCAGATACAGATCTACTGTTTTAATAGAAAGCCAAATGAACAGTGGCTTAAATAAGAATTTTTTTTTTTTTTTTTCTGTTTGGTAGTAGCAGGTAGGTAATCCAGAGCTGGCATGACACTGCTATTCTAAGGCAAGTACAAATGGTTAGTTGCTTCATGGTTTAGAGGCTCAAAAGGTTTCAGCTGGGTTTCGTAATCTGACATACCTTCTAAGCTTTGATTAGGTTTCTACAAATCCACTCACCAACTGATTTGTTTTTGGAAGGGGATAGTAACAAGTGCCCAAGAAGGGAAAAATAGCAAGGATTCCAGTTTTCTTAAATTTATTTTTCTGAAGTTTTAGCATTATCTTGTATTTTCCTTATAGTGTGCACCTTAATATCCTAGTTCAGTTTCTGATTGTTAGTTCATAATGCTTTAAATAATTGTTGTTCCTAAGCAGAAGCCCTTAGTATAAGAAACAGCTTAGAATCCTTAATGTTTCTCACATTTGAAATTCATAATGATATTTTAGCTTTGTCATAGTTAAAAAAAAACAAAACAAAACTAAGATTGAAATGAAGTAGTGACATAATAACTTCATACTGCTTTTTCAGAGGTAGACCACACTACCCCTGTTTTGGACTTTGGTATCCTTGGTTAATTCTGGCATAAGATTGTGTTATAGCTTGAGAGGAGGTTGGGAGAAGTGAAAAATTTGATGAAATTTTAAAGTTGCTATACTTTACTTATTTTTATTTTTATTTTTTTGAGACAGGGTCTCCCTCTGTTGTCCAGGCTGCAGTGTAGTGGCGCCATTATAGCTCACTGCAACCTCTGCCTTCTGGGCTCAAGTGATTGTCCCACCTCAGCCTTCCCTAGTAGCTGTCTGTAGCTATAGCTATAGCTAATACTATAGCTATATCGTTGTGTGGGTGTGTGTGTGTGTGTGATTCTGTTACACTTCCTTATCTTCTTTGGCTTGTGACAACTATCTTTTATTTTAGGATGTACCCTTTCTATAGTACTCACTTGATTCATTTAATTTCTGAAGCTTTTTGGGTGATGACTAACTTCATTGCAGAGGCATTTGGTTATTAAGACTGGACTCGACAAGGCATGATTTATATATAAAATATAAAAGGATTGTTCAAATTGTCTAAAAGCACATAGAAAAAATTCTGGTAATCAAAACTAACTCTTATTTACAAGAGTGAAGTTTCTTAGAAATGGCTCGTGAATCATGATTTCATCTTCTGTTATTAATAATAATACTTTTTTTTTTTTTTTTTTTGAGACGGAGTCTCGTTCTGCATGTAGCCCAGCCTGGAGTACAGTGGCATGATCTTGGCTCACTGCAGCCTCCGCCTCCCAGGTCCCAGTTCAAGCAATTCTCCTGCCTCAGCATCCCAGGTAGCTGAGATTACAGGCATGTGCCACCATGCCCAGCTAATTTTTGTATTTTTAGTAGAAACAGAGTTTCACCATGTTGGTCAGGCTGGTCTTGAACTCCTGACCTCGTGATCCGCCCACCTCGGCTTCCCAAAGTGCTGGGATTACAGGTGTGAGCCACCGTGCCTGGCCAACAATAATGCTTATATATTAGAAGGTAAAATGCTACAGGGGGTTGTATTTGGTAGCAGTTAAGTAGACAGGGATAAACAGACAGTTGGAAGACAACTCTTTATTGATTTCTTGCATTTCTGCATATCTTGCAAGTAAAGCACTGACTGCCTGTTACTCTAGACTACCTTTTCAAGAATGTTTATCTAGTGAGCAGCCTTGGAAGATAATGATAGTATTTTCCTCCTTAGGAAAAGAAAAGGCAGGCATTCTTGCTGTCCATTATAAAATATTTGGGTTCCCTAAGCTCAGGACTCTTCTGTATTGCAACTCAATGTTTTTTGTAGGCATTTCCCTGGGCCTGTCTTGGTATGGATAAGATAATTCGATAACTAGAAAAGGTAGGAAAGTAATTGGAACATGTAGGATTCTCCAAACTGATGGCTTTACAAATGTTTTAAATTTTGCTTCACTTTAAAGAACTACCCGTAGAGCTCTCAGACCCATGTATTATAGCTGTGGTTTAAACAAGGAAGATATGTAATTCTAATTGACAGATTTATACTCGATGATAAGGCTTTCCATCAAAAGATTGGAGATATATGTATATTTCAGTTGTAATAAAATGTTTAACATATTGTTTTGGTTTCCTACTTGAACTGATTTTTCTTTTGAAGAGCTGACTTTTTCCTGATTAGGTAGGATCAAAGGGTTTTAATTGAAGTTGAAAAACCTTAGAAAACTGTAATTAATGTACTTTATTGATTGGTTGTAGTTATTGTAAGTTGCCTCATGTTGCACAATCCCCCCCCACCCCGGCCCACCACCCTCCTTAATTTATTACTCTAAAGACAGGTCCTAATATGGACCTTAAAGTTGAGGTGGTACCGTATACCTTACATTCTTTTGCATTGCAGTGATTATGTCAGCAATATATAGACAGCAGGTAAAACTGCTGGCTGTTAGATTGTAGAATATTAGAATTTTAATGAGTGTCAGTAATTGACATTTTAGCCTCATAATTTTACTTATGAGGAAACTGAGGTCCAGAGGTGTAAAGTGGTTCACACTTAGTTCTCAATAGAGCTCTGGACTTAAAAATGAGATTTACTGGCCAGGCATGGTGGCTCACACCTGTAATCCCAGCATTTTGGGAGGCTGAGACGGTGGATCACCTGAGGTCAGGAGTTCGAGACCAGCCTGGCCAACATGGTGAAACCCTGTCTCTACTAAAAATACAAAAATTAGCTGGGCATGGTGGTGCACGCCTGTAATCCCAGCTACTTGAGAGACTGAGACAGGAGAGTTGCTGGAACCCGGGAGGCGGAGGTTGTGGTGAGCCGAGATCGCACCATTGCACTCCAGCCCAGGTGACAGAGTGAGACCCTGTCTCAAAAAAAAAAAAAAAAAAAAAAAAAAAAAAAAAGAGATTTACTGATAGCAAGTATAACATTTGTGTATCTCCTCGTGTAATTTTTACAGTTATATATTATATATTAGAAAATATGCAGCTTTTGACTTAAGCCAGTAAATTCATGGATTTTATTAGTTGAGGCTAATCAAAGTTAAAGGCCAGTAAAAAAAAATTAAGTAACTGTATACTAGTAGTGCATAGCAAAAATTATGAAATTGGTACACTGACTACTGAGAAATGTTGATATGGGGGAAAATCATTAAATTCATAACTGGCGGCATAATTAAAGTATGTGGCTGATGGAGAAATAAACATTTGAAAAACGTTCAATTAATACTTTTGTGATATATATATCAATAAATAGAACCCACTGATGTAATTATTTTCTATTAATGGAAACTTTTTTTAAATGTATACATCTGTTTTCTCCTCCTGGATTGTTTAAAACGTCTGTCATAAGACGACATGTAATACTCTATGTAGAAATTTGTTTCAAGGTTCTGTGAATTAAAATTGAAATAGTGTGTATAAGAACAGTTAGCAGAAGTGGAAAGCAACACAAATGAACTTTTCATGTACAACTTACACTGAAGTCCACAACTCTTACCTATGTATATATCCAAGTAACCACTATTCAAGTGAAGATATAGACTATTTCCAGCACCCCAGTAGGCTCTCCTGTGCTCCCTTGTAGTAACTCTCCCTTCAGGGATAAGCACCTAGCACAATGGTTGGCACGTAGTAGGTATTCAAAAATACTAGTTCAGTGAAATAAATGAAGTCTTAATATTTTACATAATTGAATGGGTTCTTTGTACATTACAGTTTTTACCTTTGTAGTTTTCCCTTTGTTTTTTTATTTTTGTAAATGTTTAAAATGTTATTACATTTGGGGACATTTTTCTTTTATTTTTTATACTCCCTCAAAGATAAGTTATTTCTTCATGTATTAGGTAAATATTCAATTTTCAGTTCCTCTGTCCAATAATTCAAAGTTAAAATATTTGTCATATTTGATCTGCAGTTAATTTTGTTGTAGTCTTAAGTTTTTTCCCCCCAATTTGAGAGTAGACGTTTTAAAGTTCAAATAGATCAATTATCAGTTAAGAGCATATGTATCTACAGTGTTACCATTTATGCATAATGAATATTGCTCTTCCCTCAAATTACTTATATTCTGTGTCACACACCAGTAATTAACCTCACATTTAGTTTTGAACATTCTTTGACTTATTACATAAGTAATGGTCATGTCAAATAAATATTTGGTAAAAATATCACATATTCCTTTTCCTCACTTTTTTAAAAAGACCTTCAGAGATTGTGTTACTTTATGTGTATATTTTTCTGTTTACTCTTTTTCATATATAAACTTTATATAAATATTATCCTGTAAAATATCAGGAAAATTTCTTAATGACATAAAATATCCAGCAAATGTTCAAATAATTCTGAGAAATTTTTAAAAATTTATTCGTATCAGGATTCAAACAAGGTCTATACACCTCAGTGGTTAGTATGCCTCTCAAGTATCTTTTAAGCCATAGGTTTCTCCTGTTTTTACCCCCCTTTGCAGTTTGTTAAAGAAGCCTAGTTGTTTTGTAGTTTACCACAGCCTGGAGTTTGCAAATTGATCACCGTGTGTCATTTAAAATTGTAATTATGGCTGGGCGCAGTGGCTCACGCCTGTAATTCCAGCACTTTGGGAGGCTGAGGTGGGCGGATCACCTAAGGTCAGGAGTTCGAGACCAGCCTGGCCAACATGACGATACCCCGTCTCTACTAAAAATACAAAAATTAGCTGGGCGTGGTACTGTGCACCTGTAATCCCAGCTACTTGGGAGGCTGAGGCAGGAGAATCACTTGAACCTGGGAGGCGGAGGTTGCAGTGAGCCAGGATTGTGCCACTGCACTCCAGCCTGGGCAATAAAGCAAGACTCCGTCTCAAAAAAAAAAAAAAAAAGTAATTAGATCTCTAGTCTTGATATGAATTAATTTTGATTTTCTTTTCTTTTTTCTTTTTGCCAAAAAAAACTTCACAGTGGTATATACTTTGTATCAGGAAGTGTGTAATACCTGGTTGTCCTTTCTTTGTTTTTAAAACAAAAGCAACACTTTCCAATTATTATACCCGTTTTTCAGGATTTGTGTGAAGATCAGTGATGGTGTATGGAAAACATTTGGGAAAGGCCCTGCCATTTAAAAAAAAATTTAATTGCTCTTACTACTCTTATTTGGTTTTCCAAGTTAAATTTTTAGTTGTACTGTCAGTAGTTATAGGATGCTAAAAGGCCAGCAGAGTTGAAATTATCACCTCCTAACAAATAACTTATAATCTTCTAAGATTTAAATTTGTACATAGTTTTTTCTATGAAATTTTTGTGCCTGCTATTATATTGCTTTCATAGACAGTTTTTAATTTAGGGTTATAGTTTGGTGCTTATGGACATTTTTATTCCTATATCTTATTTAGCTCCAATTTTATTTATTATGAGAACAGTCTGTTAACAACATTAAAGGATTCATTCATTCATCTTAGTGCCATTTTTTCTCTTTCCTTCATTCTTTGTTTATGTATGTACTATAAATGATTCTAATTCATAGTACTTATATACTGTATTTTGTTTTCTAAAAAAGTTAACGTATCATAATCTCTTTTCCATATTGTTTTATAGTCATCATAGTCTTTTAAAGGGAAGTTATGCTTTGCCATTGAGAAGATTTGTCATATTCATAATTTCTTTGTTTTTTGAGTTAAATGAAGAGTTATATTGCTATTTAAGTTTTCTTTTTCTTGGAAGTGAGTACATGGATGTCTAAGTCTGCTTGGGCTGCTGTAATAAAATACTGTAGACTAGATGGCTTAAACAACACATTTATTTTCTACAGTTCTGGGGGCTGGAAAGTCTGAGAGCAGGGTGCCAGCATGGTCAGGTTCCAGTGAGGGCTGTCTTCCTGGCTTGCAGACAGGTGTCATCTTGCTGAGTCCTCACATGGTGGAAACAGAGGGGAAGCAAGCTCTCTTGTATCTCTTCTTATAAGGGCACTAATCCCAGCATGAGGGCTCCACCCTCATGACATGATTACCTCCCCAAGGCCCTATCTCCACATGTCATCACATTGGGGATTAGGATTTCAGCATGTGAATCTTGGAGAAGATACAAATACTGGAGAGGACATAAATATTCAAGTTCATAGCAGTGAGGAATTGACTTTTTATAAAATACCTGTTGTTTAAGTGCTCTAAATTTTCCCTTTGACTCTATGGATAGCTGCTACATTCTCTGTGAACTCCACCCTTATTCTTCCATTAGCCTTGGTTTCAGGGAAGAAGAATACTTTAGAAATGTGGAAAGAACAAAACAGTAAACTTTCCTTCCCTACTCTCCTTTAAATTTTGTTTTCCTCTAAAAAATATAAAAATAAGTTTATGGTTAATTTTTGAGCAGATAATACAGGTTAACACAGTAGAAATAACAATTTCTTACTGGAAACTCTAGATAGGAACCTGGCTGGGCATGGTGGCTCATGCCTGTAATCCTATCACTTTGGGAAGCTGAGGCGGACAGATCACTTTATCCCAGGAGTTCAGGACTAGCTGGGGAAACAGGGCAAGACCCCGTCTCTACAAAAAATACAAAAATTAGCCAGGCGTGGTGGTATGCGCCTGTAGTCGCAGCTACTTGGGAGGCTGAGGTAGGAAGATCACTTGAGCTCATTCACAGTGAGCTGAGATCACACCATTGCACTCCAATCTGGGTGACAGTGACATCTTGCCTCTAAATAAATAAATATAGGAATTTACTATATTTTAGTACTTTTAACACTATTGGCTTAGGACCTTGTCTATTTATCATATGTCTTAGTTCATTTTGTGTTTCTGTAAAATAATGCTTGAGGCTGGGTGATTTATAAAGAAAAGAGGTTTGTTTAGCTCATTATTCTTCAGGCTGCACAGGAAGCATGGCATTGACATCTGCTCAGCTTCTGGTGAGAACTTTGGTGCCACATCAGAACATGACAGAGAAGGTCAAAGGGAAAGCAGGCACATGTGAAGAGATACCAAACCTAAAGGGTGTCCTGGCTTTATAGCAACCCACTTTACTGGGAACTGACTTATTCCCTTGAGAACTCATCCCATCTTGCCAGAGTGAGAACTCATTACTGAGAGAATGGCACCAAGACATTCATGAAGAATCTGCCCCCATGATCCTAACACCTCCCACCAGGACCACCTCTCAACACCACCACACTAGGGATCAAATTTCAAAATGGGATTTGGTAGGGACAGGCAAACTATATCTAAACCATAGCATCATATCACTTTTTTTTTTTTCATTTTTTGGATTTTATTGAAGAACTTTTTTTCTCTTTTAAAACTTTGAGTTCTAGAACTAGTTAATTCATGAGTTGTCCTTGTAGTCTATTTTACTTCAAAGATTAACCTATTAGAAGGAAAGACAGGTTCATTTATTCACAAATGAGATGAGAGCATTAATTTTTAAGTGACTCAGTGTGAATAATCAGCACATCATGGAAGGGGATCACAGTATTACAATTGATTTCATTCTAAATGTCACCAGACCAATTTGTTGTGTTTGAGGCAAGTTAATATGTCCTCAGTTTGATCTCTAATTGTGTATTTCCAGACAAAAAATTTACTTTTTTCCCCAATTATTTTATTATGGTAAAATAAATCATCTTAAATCATCTTAACCCTTCTTTAGTATAAAGTTCATTGGTATTGTGTACATTTATATTGTATAAACATCAGTATCATCCATTTCCAGAACTCTTCGTCTTGCAGAATTGAAACTGTATGTCCATTAAACAATAACTCTCCATTCTCTCCTCCCCCTGTCCCCTGGCGATCATCATTCCACTTTCTGTCTCTACAATTTTGGCTATTGTAGATACATCATAAAAGTGGAATCATAGAGTATTTGCCATTTTGTGACTGGCTTATTTCACTTAGCATAATGTCCTCAATGTCTATTCATGGTGTAGCATATGTCAGAATCTCCTTCCTTTTAAAGGCTGAACAATATTCCATTGTATGTATATACCACATTTTGCTTGTGCCTTCATTTGTTGATGGGTTGTTTCCACATTTTAGTTATTGTGAATAATTCTGCTGTGAACATGGGTGTACAAATGTCTCTTCAAGACTCTACTTTCATTTCTTTTGTTTACTTACCTAGAAGTGGAATTGCTGGATCATATAGTAATTCTGTTTTTTAATCTTTTGAGGAACCGTCATACTGTTTTCCGCAGTGGCTGTACCATTTTACATTCCCACCTGCAGGGCACACAAGTTCCGGTTTCTCCACGTAGCATACATCACTTTTTAATACACTTATTTTGGTAGGGAGAAACATTAGTCTTGTTATTTACGCCCCTTTATAGTCACAATATGTTTGCATAATTAGGAATTGAGTTTTGACTGTTGTGGAAACCCAAGGTATGTGTTTTGAACAGTTGAGAGTATTATTATTCACACTATGCTGAGTGGTGAGTTAGTGGGTGTAAGAAAGATTTGGACCCTGCTGTTGGATTCTTAAAATATAAGAAGTGCTTTTAGGAAGAAAATGGCTGGATAAGTAAGGTGATGGAAATAGATACTTTGCTCTTTCTGATACATTATTCTTTTGAGCACTTTCTTGTAGAGCAGAAGAATGTCAAAATTTTACCTGCTCAAATTGCTTCTCTTCCACAGTACTTTAGAGCATCATGGGAAGCAACTATTGGGTGGACCCTTGATTAGTGGTTATTTTTCATTTTTATAAAGGCCTAATTAAATAGCATATTTAAATGCAAATTGTCAATCTAAAACACACAAACTTGGATATAATAGGCCTGCTCCTATATTGACTTAATTTTTTTTTCTTTCATTCCTCCGTCTTGTCACACCTTTCTTTCCCCATCATCTCATTATCTCTGATGGAACACATTTACTATGCAATGTGTAGTGCTAGTGGAAATAAAGAATATAGGAGTGACCTTCCACCTTATGACTTACTTGTATTCTCTGCTTGGAATATGTTTCTTGCCATACTTTGTTTGGCTAACTGCCAGTTAACCTTTAGGTCTCAACTTAAACATCACTTCCTATGAGAAGCATCCTGTAACCTCATGTAAGGTCCATGAGGTCATAAATCATGTGTGTGTTGTACACTTTGATTCTCCAGAAAGTAGTGTAGTGCTTGACCCATACCAGGCTCACATTAATTTGTGTAAACTGATTTTCCTTATGGAGCCTTGGATCTAATGGGGGGAGGCAGATAGATAAACAAATATTTAGAAATACAGTGTGACCAGTTCTGTACTGGAAGTACTTTGCATGCCAAGGAAGAAAGAACTCTGCACTAGAGAAGAAATGGAGTCCATATTCTCTTGTTTCTTTCTTTCTTTTTTGTTTTTTAAAGGAACTAGCGTGATATCAATATACATTTTTAAGTTCATTCACGTAAAGGCATTTAGAATATTTGTGCAAGTTATAACAAAGCTTTTCAAAACAATTAAGTTACCATTATTTTGGGTTTTGTAGCCTTTTATTCAAAGTTGTTATAATCTCTGGTCTCTGAGATATTTTATAGGAGGGTTTGTGGGAGGTAGGTGAGAGGGGAAACTGCTGTTCTTGTTTCTGGTGGTTTTACTAAATAAGCTCCTTCTGTACTGATATGGTTTGGATGTTTGTACCCTCCAAATCTCATGTTGAAATGTGATTCCCACTGTTGGAAGTGGAGCCTGGTAGAAAGTGATTGGATCACGGGGGCAGATTCCTCATGAATGGTTTAGCGCCATCTCCTTGGTGATGAGTGAGTTCTTGCTCAGTTCATGCAGATTTGGTTGTTTAAAAGAGTCTGGGACATTCCCCCTAACCCGTTCCCTTACTCACCATGTGATATGCTGCTCCCCTTCACCTTCCCCATGATGTAACCTTCCTGAGGCCCTCACCAAAAGCGGATGTGGTCACCATTCTTCCTGTGCAGCCTGCGGGACCATGAGCCAAAATAAACATATTTTCTTTATAAATTACCCAGATTCAGGTATGTATTTATAGCACTGCAAGAACAGTATAATACAAAAAATTGGTACTGAGGAGTGGGGCGTTGCTGTAAAGATACCTGAAGATGTGGAAGTAGCTTTGGAACTGGGTAATGGGCTGTGATTGGAAGTGTTTGGTGGGCTCAGAAGAAGACAGGAAGACGGGGGAAAGTTTGGAATTTCTTAGATACTGGATAAACGGTTGTGACCAAAATACTGATAGAAATATGGACAGTGAAGGCTAGCCTGATGAGGTCTCAGATGGAAATGAGGAACTTGTTGGGGACTGGAGTAAAGGTCACCCTTTTGCACCCCAGCAAAGAAAGAGCCTGGCTGCATTGTGTCCAAATCCTAGGGTTCTGTGGAAGGTCGAACTTAAGAGTAATGACTTAAGGTATCTGGTGGAAGACATTTCTAAGCATTCAAGACATGGCTTGGCTGCTTCTGGCAGCCTGTGATCAGGTACAGGAACAAACAAATAACTTAAAGTTGGAACTTATCTTAAAGGGTAGCAGAGCATAAAAATTCGGAAAATTTAGAGTTTGTCCCTGTGATAGAGAAAGAATCCAAGCAGGCAGTGGAGCAACCACTTGCTAGAGTGATTAGCATGACTAAAAGGGAGCCAAGTGCTAATATCCAAGACAATGGGAAAAAGACCTTGAAAGCCTTTTCCAGAGATCTTAGAAGCAGCCTCTCCCATCACAGGCCCAGAGGCCTGGAAGGGAAGAATGGTTTCAGGGACCTGTCCCAGGGTGCCACTGTCCTGCTTAGCATCAGGACACTCCTCCCCACATTCTAGCTGCTCCAGCTCCAGCCTCGGCTCAAAGGGGCCCAGGTACAGCTTGGGCTGCTTCTTTGGAGGGTGCAAGCCATAAGCTTTAGTGGCTTCCATGTGGTGTTAAGAGGGCAAGTATAAAGGAGGCTTGGCAGCTTCCCCCTCGATTTTAGAGGATGTATGAGAAAGCCTGGGTGCCCAGGCTAAGCCTGCCTCAGGGGTGGAGCCCTCACAGAGAACCTCTACTAGGGCAGTGTGGAGGGGAAATGTGGGGTTGGAGTTCCCACACAGAGTCCCCTCTAGGGCACTGCCTAGTGGAACTATGGAAAGTGGGCCACCACCCTCCAGACCCCAGAATGGTAGATCTACTGTTAGCTTGTACCCTGAGCCTGGAAAAGCTGCAGGCACTCAAGTCCAACCTGTGAGAGCAGCCATGGGAGCTGTACCCTGCAAAGCCACAGTGGTAGAGCTGCCCAAGGCCTTGGG
Source organism: Homo sapiens (assembly GCF_000001405.40). Taxonomy (NCBI): domain Eukaryota; kingdom Metazoa; phylum Chordata; class Mammalia; order Primates; family Hominidae; genus Homo; species Homo sapiens. The sequence goes on along the minus strand of NC_000012.12, from coordinate 76,518,339 downwards.
AGCCCACCCCTCACACAAGGTTGCTGGACATGAAGTCAAGGATTATGTTGGAGTTTTAAGGTTTAATGTCTGCCCTGCTGGGTTTTGGACTTGCTTGTGGCCTGTTGCCCCTTTCTTTTGGCTGATTAATACCTGAACCACCAATGTATCTTGTTTTGATCTATCAAGTTACTTGTTTTGATTTTACAGGCTCATAGGTGGAAGGAATTTGACTTGAGTCTTGGATAAGACTTCAGACTTTTCATTGAGTTGATGCCAGCATGACTTAAGACTTTGGGAGACTATTGGGAAGGGATGATTGTATTTTGCAGTGTGAGTAGAACATGAGATTAGTGGCGCCAGCAGAATGATATGGTTTAGATGTTTGTCCCCTCCACATCTCATGTTGAAATGTGATCTCCAATGTTGGCAGTAGGGCCTGGTGGGAAGTATGGGATTATGGGGGCCAATCACTCCTAGGTAATGAGAGCTCTTGCTCTGAGTTCACATGAGACCTGGTTGTTTGAAAGAGTATGGCACCTCCCCACCTCTCTCTCTTGCTCCTACTCTTGCCATGTGATGCGCCCATTCCCACTTTGCTTTCCACCATGAGTAAAAGCTCAGTGAAGCCTCATCAGAAGCTGAGCAGATGCCAGAGCCATGCTTCTGTATCACCGGTAGAACTATGAACCCAATTAACCCTTTTTTCTTTATAAATTACCCAGCCTCATTTCTTCATAGCAATGCAAAACTGGACTAGTACATAACGGAATTTTGATTTTTTTAGGCTCTTAAAGCCAAGTATTTAAAATTTATCATTGTCATCTATTTTAGCAAATTATAGCCTGTTTTTTATATATATGTACGAGATATTAGTTACCATTCTTAAAATAAACTTATTAATGAATACATTAATAAACATTTATGTTTAATATTAGTCATAGATGGTGAAACCACAGTTGATGAAACACTATTAGTTTATCTTTATAATTAAAAATTTCTTTACAGTAGGTAATAAAAAGTTTTTCAGGACCTTGTCTGAAATTTTTTGGAGTTTGAGTCCTCTAAAAGGCCTCTTACCTCCACACCCCCCACCTCTTGTTTATTTTTGCTATAGAATGATTACATTTTTTAATTGTAAAGAGAACATATTTAAACATGTGTACAATACATAAATATGGAGTTTGGTGTGTCATCACAAAGCCAACCCTTATATAAGCACCCATGAGATCAAGAAATGGAACATTGGGCCGGCGTGATGGCTCATGCCTGTAATCCCAGCACTTTGGGAGGCTGAGGCAGGCAGATCACTTGAGGTCAGGAGTTCGAGACCAGGCTGGCTAACATGGTGAAACCCCATCGCTACTAAAAATACAAAAATTAGCTGGGCACTGTGACATAACGCTGTAATCCCAGCTACTCAGGAGGCGAGACAGGAGAATCACTTGAACCCAGGAGGTGGAGGTTGTGGTGAGCCGATACTGCGCCACTGCACTCCAGCCTGAACAACAGAGCTAGTCTCCATCTCAAAAAAAAAAAAAAAGAAAAGAAAAGAAAAGGAAAGAAATGGGACATTGACATTGATGGCATAATGTTGAGAGGATTTGTTATGTTTCCTTCATCAACCATATTATTGGTTATTTCTGCTGTCTGTTTTTACCTTTTTTAAATCTCACTTGGTATTCATTAATTGTATTCTTTTCAAAGAACTAACTTTTGGCTTTTTCTCTTTTGTGTTTTAGTGTTCTTTGACATTTATTACTGCTCTTTGTGTCCTTTCTTTTACTTTTTTGGGGTTTAATTTGCTGCTTTAGGGAGGCAAAGTTTTCCTCCACCCTTCTAGGGTCATACGCTTTTCTCTGGTTAGTCTGTCTTATGCCAGAAAAACAAAGACACAAAAAAGCAGTTAGAGCTGAATACTTATAATACGAGGAAGCACAAAGAGCATCAGATTGTGAAAATGTGACAAGAATATGGAGTTTTGACTAGAACAGTTAATTGTGGAGAAGAGGCTAGGAAGGTAAGGTTAGTTTATTAAGGTTTATGTGTGCAGATTTCTCTTGGTCTTGATTTTTCATCCCTGGTGTTAAAAATGTCTTTCTTTCCTCTGGCACAAGGAGGGCACTTTTCACATGGGAGTTTCATCTCCTGCTTTCAGGAAGAAAAAGGAAGGTCAGAGTACCTTTAGCTCAAAATAATCAATATTCCATAGCAGTGTATTTTGGGGTGGCAATCCTGAACTTCTCCACTGCTTTTTCAGATTTTTTGAAATGGATGATTAGCCGTTTGATTTTCCTGTCTTTTATAGCTATGCATTTTCTTTGCATACCTCAGTTCTTATAGTATTTCATTATCATTTCGCTAATATTTTGATGTTTTTAATTGCCACTGTGATTACTTCTTCAATCCATAGGTTATTTAGAAGTATATTTCTTAATTGTAGAACACATTGTGGGAGTGGGGGGGTCACCAAGATGGCTGACTAGAAGCAGCTAATATGTGTGGCTCTCACAGGGAGGAATGGAAGGGGTGAGTTAATAGCTGAATCATCCAAGTACATGCATCAAGACTAATCAAGGAAACAACTCTACCCATGGAGAATGGAGAAAAGCAAGACAGGATGAAGGCCCACCCAGAAGCGACACAGAGGCAGGGGAACCTCCCCTGCTCAGGGAATTTGTTGAGGAAGGAACATAAACACTGAGATTACCCCAGAACTGCAGTGGGCAGCCCAGGAGTGCAAAGCTGCAATCTACAACCAGCACTCAAGGGGAAGAGGAATCTATACCTATACTTTCAGAGTGTTGAGAGGGAACGTGGCTGCAATTGTGAGGAAATTGCGGAGCCACCCATCCGAGCAAGATTCTACCAACTGACCAGTACACCTGAGTGCCACCTGCTGGATCGCAGTCCACAACTTCAACACCAAAAATACCTCTCTAACATACCCCTCTGAAACCAAAGATAAGAAATCAGCTTCCATGAAATAAAGATCCTGCACAAAGCCTTGGCCCTGTGAAAATGTCTGAAAGAGAAGTCTATTGACTACTTAATCTACACTACAGTTAAAGGAACACCCATATGCAGAGATGAGAAAGAACCAATACAAGAACTCCAGTAACTCAAGAACTCCAGTAAATGGCCAGAGTGTCCTGCGAGTGACTGTACCACTTCTGCAACAAGAATTCTTACCAAGGCTGAACTGGCTGAAATGACAGAAGTAGAATTCAGAACGTGGATAGGAATGAATATCATTGAGATTCAGGAGTACAGAAAAATCCAATCCAAGGAAACTAAGAATCACAATAAAACAATACAGGAATTGAAGGACAAAATTGCTGGTATAAAAAAGAACCTAATTAATCTGACAGAGCTGAATAACACAGTATAAGAATTTCACAGTGCAATCACAAGTATTAACAACAGAATAAACCAGGCTGAGGAAAGAATCTCAGATCTTGAAGACTGGCTGTCTGAAATAAGATAGACAAACATAAAAAAGAGTTAAAAGGAATGAACAAAAGCTTCGAGAAGTATGGGATTATGTAAAGAGGCTAAATCTATGAATCATTGGTGTCTTTGAAAGGGAGGGAGGGAAAGCATACGACTTACAGAACATATTTCAGGATATTGTCCATGAAAACTTCCCCAGCTTTGCTAGAGAGGCCAACAGTCAAATTCAGGAAATGCAGAGAACTCCTGAAAGACTCTATACAAGAAGATCATCCCCAAGACACATAATCATCAGATTTTCCAAGATTGAAATGAAAGAAAAAATGTTAAAGGTAGGTCATCTGCAAAGGCAACCCCATCAGGCTAACAGCAGATCTCTCAGCTGAAACCCTACAAGCCAGAAGAGATTGAGGAGGGCCTACAACATACTTAAAGAAAAAATTGTTCAACAAAGAATTTCATTTCTAGCCGGCTCATGCTTGTAATCCCAGCACTTTGGGAGGCTGAAGCGGGTAGATCACAAGGTCAGGAGTTCAAGACCAGCCTGGCCAATATGGTGAAACCTGTCTCTACTAAAAATACAAAAAAAAAAAAAATTAGCTGGGCGTGGTGGCAGGCAGCTGTAGCCCCAGCTACTTGGGAGGCTAAGGCAGGAGAATCGCTTGAACCCGGGAGGCGGAGGTTGCAGTGAGCTGAGATCGCGCCACTGCAGCCCGGCCTGGGTGAAACAGTGAGACTCTATCTCAAAAAAAAGATCCTTTTCAGACAAGCAAATGTTGAGGGTATTTGTTAACCACCAGGCCTGCCTTACAAGAGATCTTGAAAGGAGCACTAAATATAGAAAGGAAAGACCACTACCAGCTAATACAAAAACACACTTAAACACACAGACTAGTGACACTATAAGACAACCACACAAACAAGCCAACATAATAACCAGCCAACAACACAATGACAGGATCAAATCCACACATATTAATACTAACCTTCAGTGCCCCACTTAAAAGGCACAGAGCAACAAACTGGATAAAAAAGCAAGACCCAGTGCTATGCTGTCTTCAAAAGACTCACCTCACATGTAATGACACTCATAGGCTCAAAATAAAGGGATGGAGGAGAATCTACCAAACAAACAGAAAACCGGAAAAAAAAAAAAAAAAAAACCCAGGGGTTAGAATCCTAATTTCAGACAAAACAGACTTCAAACCAACAAAGATTAAAAAAAAAAAGAAGGGCATTACTAGTAAAGGGTTCAATCGAGCAAGACCTAACTATCCTAAATTTATATGCACCCAACACAGGAGCACCCAGATTTATCAAGCAAGTTCTTAGAAATCTACAAAAAGATGTAAACTCCCGCACGATAATAGTGGGAGACTTCAACACTCCACTGACAGTATTAGACAAGTCATCAAGGCAGAAAGTTAAAGATATTCAGGACCTGAACTCAACATTAGATCAAATGGATCTGACAGGCCTCTATGGAACTTTCCACCTTAAAACAACTGAATATACATTCTTCTTATCTCCACATGGAACATACTCCGAAAGCAATCACATAATTGGATATAAAACAATCCTTAGCAAATGCAAACGAACCAAAATCATACCAAACACGCTCTTGGACCACAGTGCAATACAAATAGAAGTCAAGACTAAGAAAATCCTCAAAATTCTGAAAGCAATCACATAATTGGATATAAAACAATCCTCAGCAAATGCAAACGAACCAAAATCATACCAAACATGCTCTTGGACCACAGTGCAATATAAATAGAAGTCAAGACTAAGAAAATCCTCAAAACCATGCAATTACATGAAAATTAAACAGCATGCTGCTGAATGACTTTTGGGTAAGTTCAGCAAAGTTTAAGGATGCAAAACCAATATACAAATATCAGTGGCATTCCTATACACCAAAAACAGCCAAGCCAAGAGCCACATCAGTGTCATTCACAATTGCCACAAAAAGAAAAAAGATACCTAGGAATATAGCTAACTGGGGAGGTGAAAGATCTGTATAATGAGAATTATAAAACACTGCTCAAAGAAATCAGAAAAGATGCAGACAAATGGAAAAACCTCCCATGCTCATGGATAGGAAGAATCAATATCATTGAAATGGCCATACTGCCCAAAGCAATTTACAGATTCATTGCTGTTGCTATCAAACTACTATCAGTATTCTTCACAGAACTAGAAAAAAACTATTTTAAAATTCATGTGGAACCAAAAAAGAGCCCAGCAGCCAAAGCTATCCTAAGCAAAAAGAACAAAGCTGGAGGCATCACGTTACCTGACTTCAAACTACGCTACAGGGTTACAGTAACAAAAACAGTATGGAACCTGTAGAAAAACAGACACATAGACAAATGGAACAGAATAGAGAGCCCAGAAATAAGGCTGCATACCTACAACCATCTGGTCTTTGACAAAGCTGACAAAAACAAGCAATGGGAAAAAGACTTTATATTCAATAAATTGTGCTGGGCTGTTCACAGTAACAAAGATATGGAATCAACCTAAATGCCCATCAGTGACAGACTGAAAAAAGAAAATGTACATATACACCATGGAATATTATACAGCCATAAAAAAGAACTAGATCATGTCTTTTGTGAGAACATGGGTGGAGCTGGAGGCTCTCTTCTTTAGCAAACTAACTCAGGAACAGAAAAACAGATACTGCATGTTCTCTCTTATAAGTGGGAGTTAAAGGATAAGAACTTGTGAACATAAAGAAGGAAACAACAGACACTGGGGTCTACTTGAGCGGGGAGGGTTATATGAGGTAGAGGAGCAGAAAAGATAACTATTGGGTACTGAGCTTAATACCTGGGTGATGTAATAATATGTTCAACGAACCCCCATGACATGTGTTTATCTATGTAACAAACCTTCACATGTACCAGCAAACCCAAAATAAAAATAAATTTAACAAGTTAAATGATGCTGGGATAACTGGCTAGCCATATGCAGAAGATTGGAGCTGGACCCCTTACACCATATATAAAAATGAACTCAAGGTGAATTAAAGACTTAAATGTAAAACCGAAAACTATAAACCCTGGCAGACGACCTAGGTAATACCATCCAGGACATAGGAACGGGCAAAGATTTTATGACAAAGACATCAGAAGCAATCGCAGCAAAAGCAAAAATTGACAAGTGGGATCTAATTAAGCTTAAGAGCTTCTGCACAGCAAAAGAAACTGTCAGCAGAGTAAACAGACAACCTGTAGAATGGGAGAAAATATTTGCTAACTATGTACCTCACAGAGGTCTAATATCCAGCATCTATAAGGAACTTAAATAAATTTACAAGAGAAAAACAACCCTATTAAAAAGTGAGCAAAAGACATGAACAGACACTTTTCGAAAGAAGACATACCTGTGGCCCACAAGCATATGAAAAAAAGCTCAGTATCACTGATCATTAGAGAAATGCAAATCAAAATCATCTCACACCAGTCAGAATGGCTGTTATTAAAAAGTCAAAAAATAACAGGTGCTGAGGTTGCAGAGAAAAGGGAACACTTATACACTGTTGGTGGGAATGTAAATTAGCTCAGCCATGTGGAAAGCAGTATGGTGAGTCCTCAGAGAGCTAAAAGCAGAACTACTATTTGACCCAGCAGTCCCGTTACTGGGTATATACCCAGAGGAATATAAATCACTGTACCATAAAGACACATGCATGTGAAAGTTCTTTGCAGTGCTGTTCATAATGGCGAAGACACGGAATCAACCTAAATGCCTAATCTGCCTAAATGTTTTGACTCTCACTCTACCACCCTCAGAAGTCTGGATTTAATATCCCTATGTACTGGTTTAGGTAACATCATGTACATACCTTTGTTTAAGGGACATTACATTGTATATTATACTAATCAGTTTACTTCATTTTCTCTTGGCTATACACTAAGTTCCTGGATGACAGCAATGATGTTTGTTTTCTGTATGTCCGGAATCTAGAACAGTGCTTCTTATATGGCAAGAGGTAAATATATTTTTTTTTTTTTTTTTGAGATGGGGTTTCACTCTTGTTGCCCAGGCTGGAGTGCAGTGGCATGATCTCGGCTCACCACAACCTCCAGCTCCCGGGGTCAAGCGATTCTCCTGCCTCAGCCTCACGAGTAGCTGGGATTACAGGCATGCGCCACTACACCTGGCTAATTTTTGTATTTTTTAGTAGAGATGGGGTTTCTCCATGTTGGTCAGGCTGGTCCCGAACTCCCAACCTCAGGTGATCTGCCTGCCTCGGCCTCCCAAAGTGCTGGGATTACAGGCGTGAGCCACTGCACCCAGTCATAAATAATATTTGATGAATGTGTTTTGAGCCCTGCAAAAGACATATAACCGACAGTGAAGCAGTAATAGGTATTAAGGTCTATAAACTGTAAATTTTATGAATGGTTGGTTCAGAGATAATGGGAAATGAAATTTCTTTTGTACCTTGAGAATTTTGATAGTAATGATTTCTTGTTTTTTATTGAACTTATGTTAGTATTCTGGTTTCCTCGGGGCAAAATGCTGATGATATAGTTTTGCCTGGACTCTACATAAGTAGTAGGTATTTATAAAACAATAGATCAAGAAAACCTTTAGTACATTTTTCTTTGTGCATTTTATTAGTAACTTGTCACTGGGTTGGATGATTGGTATATACATATATATCTGTCTAAAACAATACCTCTGTTTTAAGTTTTTCATAAGATTTGCTAGATCTGGAGATATGAAAAGTATTTGGACACCCTTCTAGTTCAGAATTTAAGTGATTTATTGGGCTTTAATGTGCTGTTAGGCAGTCATTAAATAAATGGAAACTAAATTATGATGAATTTGAAATAGACACCTGTAAGCACAGTAGTATGTATTTAATGTCTATGAGAAAAGTGGCTTTTTACGAAGTTTTTTGGGAAGAGGCAGTGTTTTTGGGAATATCTACCTACCTTTGTGCTCCAAAGTAGTCAAGATCAAGGGAGTTGTCTAGATTTTTTGCTCTCCTTTTCCCTTATATTTTTAGGTAACTTACTGTGCTTTTTCCCCTTCTCTCTGATAGTTGATATTATTAGTTCAGTTTGTTTCTTCTGCTCCCCTGTTGCATGTCTTCCTCATCCATCTTCCTAAAGTTGTACACAGTGGGATAGCTTGCACGGCACACCTCTAATCCACTTCCTTCTTGTCCATCAGTGTCCAACTTTTTGTTTGCCTTCCAGTCTTCCATTATTATCATCATCATTTTTCTGCTTTTCTTACTATTATAGTGGTAGTATTAGAATGGAAGAAATATTAACATAATTCATAGGTGCCAAAATATTAGTATACTCTAGGAAGCATATGTACTATACCATTTTGAAATAATTTTGACGAAAGCCATTTGGAATAGACTGCTTTAATCAAGCAATTCACTTAGATTTTTTTCTTTCAAAGTACGTATGAATAGGATGTTGGTACTAGCTTGATATTTGGAAATTGTCACATGTATATAATCTCTCATTATATTAGATTTTCTTTCAGGATTTAATCTACTGTAGATACAGTGATGGGTCACTTAACAACAGGCATACATTTTGAGAAATGTATCGTTAGGCAATTTTGTCATGTGAGTATCAGAGAGTGTACTTATTAATACACAAACCTAGGTGGTGTAGCCTACTACACACCTAGGCTATATGCTATAGCCCATTGGTCCTAGGCTACAAATCTGTACAACATGTTTTACTATACAGAATGTTGTAGGTAATTGTAATACAATGGTATTTCTGTGTCTAAACATGACTAAGCATAGAAAAGGTACTGCTTTGCACTATTGACCTTGTTTTTGGAAAGGGGTCCTGATCCAGACCCCAAGAGAGGGTTCTTGGATCTCACACAAGAAAGAATTTGAGGTGAATTCATAGAGTAAAGTGAAAGCAAGTTTATTAAGAAAGTAAAGGAATAAAGAATGTCTACTCCATAGGCAGAGCAGCAGCATGGGCTGCTCATCTACTTATACTTATTGTTACTTCTTGATTATATGCTAAATAGGGGGTGGATTATTAATGAGTTTTCTGGGAAAGGGGTGGGTAATTCCCAGAACTGAGAGTTCCTCCCTTTTTGGACCATATAGGGTAACTTGCTGATGTTGCCGTGGCATTTGTAAACTGTCAGGCGCTGGTGAGAGTATCTTTAGTATGCTAATACATTATACTATAATTAGCATATAATAAACAGTGAGGATGACCAGAGGTTATTTTCATTGCCATCTCGGTTTTGATGGGATTTGGCCAGCTTCTTTTATCACAACCTGTTTTATCTGCAAGGTCTTTATCACCTGTATCTTGTGCAGACCTCCTATCTCATTCTGTGACTTAGAACGCCTCACCTCCTGGGAATGCAGCCCAGTAGGCCTCAGCCTTATTTTACCCAGTCCCTATTCAAGATGGAGTCCCTCTGGTTCAAACGCAACTGACAATGTCACCATGGCTGTGATGTCACTAGGCAATGGGAAATTTTCAGCTTCATAGTAAATCTTAATGAGACCACTGCCATACATGCAGTCTGTTCTTGACTGTAACATCCTTATATGGTATGGCTGATGACTACTATAGTGTAGATTAGTTCAGACTAGCTAAACCAGTTTGTTCTTATTTACAATCTGACTTCTTTTTTTAGTCAAAATTGCAGAGTGAAATTAAGGTAAGTGATGTGAATATAGTGTTGTCTTCCAGTAATATTCTTCTTTTTTTTTTTTTGAGATGGAGTCTTGCTCTGTTGCCCAGGCTGGAGTGCGATGGCGCAATCTCGGCTCACTGCAACCTCCGCCTCCCAGGTTCAAGCGATTCCCCTGCCTCAGCCTTGCGAGTAGCTGGGATAACAGGCACCTGCCACCATGCCCAGCTAATTTTTGTATTTTTAGTAGAGACAGGGTTTCACCATGTTGGTCAGGCTGATCTCAAACTCCTGATCTCAGGTGATCTGCCTGCCTCAGCCTCCCAAAGTGCTGGGATTTCAGGCATGAGCCACCGCGCCCAGCCATCTTCCAGTAATATTCTTCTTTAAAAGTGTAATGTATTCATGGCTCAGCATTTTTGCCTTTTTTGAGATTGAGTCTTGCTCTGTTGCCCAGGCTGAAGAGCAATGGCATGATCTTGGCTCACTGCAACCTCTGCCTCCTGGGTTCAAGTGATTTCTCCTGCCTCAGCCTCCTGAGTAGCTGGGATTACAGGCATGCACCACCACGCCCAGCCAAGTTTTTTTGTATTTTTGGAAGAGATGGGGTTTCACCATGTTGGCCAGGCTGGTCTCAAACTCCTGACCTCAGGTGATCCACCTGCCTAGGCCTCCCAAACTGCTGGGATTACAGGTGTGAGCCACCACACCCGGCACATTTTTGCTTCTGAGAATCCTTTTTTTGTTACATATGAGTGTAATAAAACAGAAAAGCTCCTGGGACATCCTGGGAGATAGGAAGTCACATATTTATCATATAAAACTTGTTGCCATAAGAGAAAGCCACTATTCATTACTGAATAATTGAATGTTCAATATTCAATCATTATTTTAAGGTTATTATGATTAGATATGTATTAAAGCCATTAACCTTGCCTAGTAGGTGCTCCTTCCTTTTCCCTGTGACTGAAATAACTATTTGTAAATCCCAAATAGAGAATAAGTTTTATAAAAATTACTTTCTCTAGGAACTTTGTTAGGGTAAGTATAGACAATGAGCTACCAGTTCCCCAGCTTCTGGAGTACTGATAACAAAAGGAACAATAGAGAGAACATTGTCTTCTTTATACTTTGAATTCAACTAGTAATTATATTTAAATTAGGATGCAGGCCTGGCTTTAGTTTGGCAGTTTTGAGAAATGAGTCAATATGGTTGTCAAATGCCATACTCTTTTACAAAAAAGTTACTTAACTTTTAAAAAATTAACAGAAGCAATATACACTGTTTAAAATACTTAAAACAGCAGAGAAGACTACCTTTCTTCTCTCGAAGCCTGTTCCTTACAGCCTACTGCCATTAAGTTTGCTTTTAATTACTGTTTTAGCTTTTAAAAAATGCTTCCCTATTCTCAGATTTATTATCATTTAAATGTTTTTGACTTTGACCTCTAAAGGATGAAGAGATTGGTGTACTTATACTTTAAGCCCCCAGCCACTTTCCCCTTCCAGGATTTTTTGTTATTAGCAGTGTTTCTTAACTGTTATCAAAGGTGTGGAATTTAGGGCATTTATCATTAATTTTACCTTTTGTCATCTTGCTTCCTTTTTTAGTTAGTGATTTTATAATTTTTATTTTGTGTATGTCTTGTTTTTCATATAGAGTAAATCTCTTTTTACATAGATATATAGAGTAATTCTGAAAGTTGAAAACAAAAAATCAGGATTCATTAATTCATTCATTTTATAAATATTGATTCTTTAATACTGGAGCACCTCAGCGCTCTGATCTTGGGTTCTTTTCTGTCTACAGAGATTTCCAAAATTATCTCATTCAATGTTATGGTTTTAAATTCCATCCGTATGCTAACTCCTAGTTTACATTTTTTGGCCTGACCTCTTCCCCGTCAGCCTCACATCTGCATGTTCAGCTGCCTCCTTGATATCTGTATTCAGATGTCTTAACTGGTATCCCAAAGTGAACAAGTCCAAAAGGAGCTCCTGATATCCATCCCTTTCTTCCCCAAGTCTTCCCACAATATATTGCATACCTGCTAATGGCCCCTTCATTTTCTCAATTGCTTTGGGCACAAACTCTGCTTAAGTTCCTGCCTCTCTTTTTTAAAAAATTTACACCTTATATCTGATTCATCAATAAATTCTTTTGGCTGCATATTCAAAGTATAGAAAGAATTTGGCATTATTCATCACATCTCCTACTACGGTTCCTGTGCAAGCCATCATTGTCTGTTGCCTGCATTATAGTGATAGCATTCTACTTTGTAATCTCTTCTCAATTAGTAGCCCAAATGATCCTACTTAAGTAAAAACTTATCATTTCTCAGCTTTCCTTTCAGCAGTAGCTTCCCATCTCATTCAGAGTAAAAAAATTAAAGTCCTTCTGTTCTTTGAGGTCTCCGTGATTTGCAGCTTAGTTACATTTCTGTTCTCTTTGCTCACTACTGTTCCCTATTCCACTTGCCACAGTAGTCTCTTTGCTATTCTTTAGATGTGCCACATGCTCCTGCTTCAGAGTCTCTGTGCTTGCTTATTCCTTTTCTGCTTGGAAGGGTCTTCTAGTCATTTGAATTGCTCACCCCCTCATGTTACTGAGGTCTTGACTCAGAGTCATTTCAATGAAGCCTAAAGGCCTTTCCAGGCAATCCTATCTAAAATTTTACCTTTTTTTGTGACATATCAGACAACTCCTTCCTTCCTATTTTTTATTCTAGTATCTATTATAATACACAATATATTTTAATTGTTTAATTTTAAAAAATTATCAGGTCAGGTTCGTCGAGGAAAATAAATTACTACAGGTACTTCAAGCAAAAAGAAAATTAACAAGGGGAATTAGATGGTGATAAATTTATTGGTAAAACTGGAGGCATGGATATGGATAGCTATTCCTAGCTTTCAGGTTAGTCATTGCTGCTGATCATTGTACCTGCCTGTTGGTACTAATATGGGTAGCTGGCAGCGGCGTACTTGGTGATCACTGTAAAGCCTCATGTCTGTCAAAGCTTATTGCCATTGTAATTGCCCAATGGGTTCTTCTTGCCAGCTGCCCAGATGAACCCAATTTATCAACACAGGGAAATTGCAAAAGAGAAAGAATTTAATATACATAGAGCTGGTTAAATGAGAGACTGGAGTTGTATTAGTACTCAGATCAGCCTCCTCTATTGGAGGCTAGGGTTTTTCAAGAATAGTTTGGTGGGCAGGATGCTAGGGAATGGGGAATGCTGTGATTGGTTGGGGAATGCAGTCATGGGGTGTGGGAAAATAGTCCTCATGTGCTGAGTCCACGCCTGGGTGAGAGCCACGAAGGAGATCCAGGTGAGGCCATCCAGTCACCAGAAATGCAGAAGCCTGAAAAGACATCTCAAAAAGCCAATCTTAGGTTCTATAATAATAATGTTATTTCAGGAGTAATTGAGGAAGTTGCAAATCTTGTGACCTCTGGAACAGTAGCTGGCATCATATAAGAATTCAGCCACTTATACTCCTAACCTTGTGACTTTTCATTAGTTTTACAAAGGCAGTTTACTTTTGGAAAGGGCTATCATAATTTAAACTATAAATTTCTCCCAAAGTTATCTTGGCCCATGCCCAGGAATGACCAAGGGCAGTTTGGAGGCTAAAGGCAAGATGGAGTTGGTTAGGTCGAATCCCTTTCATTGTCATAATTTTCTCACTGTTAAAATTTTTGCACAGCCAGTTTCACCATCAGAAGAAGAGTGGTCTGGTTTATGTCTCTCTTCCACCTTCCAAATACTGTGGAAATGCATTGCATTGGCTGAATGTAAGTCACATCTATAATCCCCAAGGCAAAGACATTTGCAAAATGTAGTTTCCGTGCTTTTAGCTTCTATGATACAGAGGAGAGCACAGAATGAATGATAAAATAAATTTATTTATACCTATATTGATAAGATATGAATATATACATATATATTGGATTAGTCAGGGTACTCTAGAAAAACAGTACCAACAGTATGTGGGGACACACACACATACACACACAAAATGGGGACTAGCAAGTATGAAATTTGCAGGGTAGGTCAACAGGCTGGAAACCCACCAAATTGCTGATGTTGCAGTCTTGAGTCTGAAGGCAGTCTGGAGGCAGAATTTCTTTTTAGGACCTCAGGTTTTTTTTTTTTTTTTGGCCTTTAAGTGGTTGGATGAGATCCACCCACATATTGAGGGTAACCTGCTTTACTCAAAGTCTACTGATCTAAATGTTAAACACATCTAAAAAAAAAAGTCTTCACAGCAACATCTATACTGATGTTTAACCAAACAACTGAGTCTCATAGCTTAGCCAAATTGACACATAAAATGAACCATTATAGTCTATGCCTTGTTACATTGGCACCCACCATATCTCTTTAAAAACATACTTGTTATAGGCCAGGCGCGGTGGCTTATGCCTGTAATCCCAGCAGTTTGGGAGGCCGAGGCAGGTGGATCACGAGGTCAGGAGATCGAAACCATCCTAGCTAGCACGGTGAAACCCAGTCTCTACTAAAAATACAAAAAAAAAAATTAGCCGGGCATGGTGGCGGGCACCTGTAGTCCCAGCTACTCGGGAGGCTGAGGCAGGAGGATGGCGTGAACCCAGGAGGCGGAGCTTGCAGTGAGCCGAGATCGCGCCACTGCACTCCAGCCTGGGTGGCAGAAGCGAGACTCCGTCTCAAAAATAAAAAAAAACATACTTGTTATAAGCTGAATTGTATCCCATTAAAATGCATATTGAAGTTTGAACTTCCAGCACCTCAGAATGTGACAGTATTTGGAGACAGGGTCTTTAATGAGATAGTTAAGTTAAAATGAGGTCACTAGGGTGGACCCGAATTCAGTATGACAGGTCTCCTTATAAGAAGAGGAAATTTGGATACAGACACGTACAGAGGGAAGACCATGTGAAATCTCTGGGAGAAAATGGCCATCTCAAGCTAAGGAGAAAGGTCTCTGAAGAAACTAAACCTGCTGAAACCTTGATCTTGGACATCTAGCCTCCAGACCTATGAGGAAATAATGTTCTGTTGTTTAAGCTACCCCCAGTTTGTCGTATTTTATTATGGCAACGCTAGAAAATTAATACAATAGTTAATCTCCAAACAAAGACAATAACAAAGTCATGCTTCCACCCAACGGTACAACTGTCTTGCGTAAAATGTACTTTTTCCCCAAAGAGAATGTAAAGTCCTTGGGTGATGTTCATTTTTCTTGTTATTCTGTAACTGAAATACTGTAATGTAGAGTTAACAATACTTAAATGCTATGAAATAAAGTCATTATATCTTATATGATAAAGCAATAAGAGAGGAAAGAAAACAAAGATATTTGATACACAACTGTATTCATAAAACAATAAGGAAGTAATAATCCCAGAAATTACAATTTTTGTCTCTGTAACTGA
The DNA here is from genome assembly GCF_000001405.40 of Homo sapiens. NCBI lineage: Eukaryota > Metazoa > Chordata > Mammalia > Primates > Hominidae > Homo > Homo sapiens. Next base: position 76,502,828 of record NC_000012.12, on the reverse strand, counting down.
TCACGTAATTGTAGCAGGTATTTATAACTACCTTCTTCCACTATCCCTTCTGTATTCATTTACCCTCAGCAAGTACCTCAACTGGTCATGGCTTTTGACCTGGTAGGATGACCCAAAGTTTCATTCCTGAAGAGTCTAGGCGATTACTAGTCCTGTCTAGATTGGATTGTTGTGATTTTCTGTTGACTTTAATCACCGAACATGCAGTACTAAAAGATATCCCATCATATTATCCCATCGTATCTGAAATATCCCATCGTATCTGAAATAGCTCCTGTATTTCAGACATACTTTCCCATACCTCTATTGTAGAGTAGCAGTCCAGTTTCTCCATGGTAATTAGGATCGCTCACCTCAGCCAGCCTAGTAAACCCCCTTCTTTGCCTGCTGATTCAGAGGCATGGGGACCTTCAAGTGGCCAAATGGCAGTCTTAACTTCGAGTTCAGTGGAATCATTGCTGTGTCTCCTGGTGAAGGCATTCCTCTCTTTGGATTAAGACCTCCAGACTGGCAAAGCGTAGGGTTATGGGGACAGGATGCAAAAATTGTATTAGTGGATCAATAGGGGTAATAGTGGATGATGTCACTTCCATTCCTCCCTCTCATTCTCAGAGCCATGCACCTTGGCTATAGGAGAAAATGCACTGTATGTTGCATATTGACCCAGAGCATATACAGCCTTCTGGCGATCCATGTATGAATTGCTCCATAGCTGATGCTACAATTGAGTTTTCAAAATGCCACCCCACTGTTCTGTCAAACCAGTTACTTCATGATGTTGGGGAACATGGTAAGGCCAGTGGATTCCCTGAGCATGGATTCATTGCTGTACTACATTTGCTGTGAAATGAGTTTCTTCTTCCAAAGCAATGCTGTATGTATTACTATTATGGTAGATGAGGCACTCTAAGTCTATGGATGTTAGTTCAGGCAGAAGCATTGCATGGAGGGAAGAGAAATTTATTCAAGTAGGAACAAAATGCTGCCCCTTCGTGATGGAAGCAGCTCAACGTAATCTACCTGCCACTGGGCAACTAGCTAATGACCCTCCACAGTGATGCTGTATTGAGGACTTGGTGTTGATCTCTACCGCTGGTCAGTTGGGCACTCAGCGGTGGCTCTAGCCAGGTCAGCTTTGGTGAGTGGAAGTCCATGTTGCTGAGCCATGCATAACCTCCATCCCTGTCACCATGGCTACTTTGTTCATGAGCCCACTGTGGAATGACAGCAGTGGCTGGAGAAAGAGGCTGACTAGTATCACAGAATGGGCTCTCCTATTTCCTTGATCATTAAAATACCTCTCTGCTAAGATCACCTGTTGGTGAGCATTCACATGGGACACAAATATCTTCACTATAAAGGCCCAGATAGTAAATATTTCAGGCTTTGTGGACTACATATTGTCTCTGTTACATATTCTCCTTTTCTTCTCTCCCCTCTCCCTTCTATTTTCCTTCTTCTTTATAGCCCTTTAAAAACATAAAAACCATTCTTACATTGTGTGCTATAGTTTGCTGACCCCCAGCTTACATGTTAAAAAATGCAAGATTCATTTAAGTGAAAATTGTATTGGGAAGGAATCCACATTTCCAGATAATGAGGGTTGAGGAAGGCACTGCATTTATTTTAATTATAAATTGGGATTTAAATCTAAGAAAACATGAATAAAGCACCCAAAGGTATTATAAAAACACACACTTATGTATATGTGTCTATGTGTGTGTGTGTGTGTGTAAAGATACACACACATACAATTACTCAATAAATAATTACAAATCACCTAATATTTTATAAGTTTATTAACCAAAGTTACTGGCACAAACTCAGATGCCTACTAGGACCTGGCAGATAAAAGGGCATTTTTGAAGTGGTTAAGTACACAGTAGTAACTGAACTGCTTATATGTCAGTAAATTCAAACGTTAGCAGAATGACTTTGCCAGACTTTGTGAGGACTGAGTAAAACATGGTTCCAAACATATATGTGGCCCCTGGGTAATCAGTTTTTATGATCACCTGTAAAAGCAGAGGCTTGTTTCTAACATCTATACTTTTAAGAAATTCTTTTTTTCTCTTACCCTGGTCATAAGAAAAAAGAAAAAAAAGAAAAAAGAAGGAAAATCTTTAAATTCTTCAGCATGTAGTCCTTGAAGGAAGATTTGTACTTTAAAACTGATGGGCTCCACTCATTCAGGGCAAGAAACTATAAAAGTATTGGGGAAAGTATAAAATGAATATGTTGTAATCCATTATTGTTAAAAATATAATCTTATAGGGAAGATAGGAACATATGCAATTTTAACAAATTTATATAAACAAATTTTAAAAACTTAAATAGTATTAAGTGATATATGAACTTTGGAAGTTCAAGAATCAAGAGAATACTTCTAGTTAGGGGAAATCAAGGAAGCCTTCGTGAAGAAGGTAATATATGACTTGGACTTCACTGGGTGGGTTGGGTTTGGTTTTGCAAGAGAAATATTTTCTAGAAGGAAGAATGCAGGCAAAGGCATGGAAATATGAAGTCATAAGAATAGGATCTATGAAGGCACTGGTGTATATGCAGAATAGCAAATAACTCAATTTGGCTGACACAAAGGGTCAGAGAAAGCAAGCAATAACTGAGAAAGGCAAGTATAAGCAAAATAATTGTTACCCTCCAATGCCAAGGCAAGATTTGGACTTAAATCTTTAATAAGCACAGCTGAAGTTTTTGATATTAAGTCGACATGATCACTTCTGTGCATTAGATTATAAAACTAGGTATAAAACTGATATAATATGTAGGCGTGAAGGCAGGGGCAAAGATAGAGGAAATGAATGCTTGAACACTCTTAAGAAATCTTCCAGGGCAGGTAAAGGATCATTGGAGGGTAGCTTTGAGGCAACTAGAACAGAAAAGGGCCTTATTGAGAGTAAGGGAAACTTGAGCATTATGGGCAATGGAAGGACTAACAGGACAAATTTTTTTTTTTTTGAGATGGAGTCTCGCTTTGCCACCCAGGCTGGAGTGCAGTGGTGTGATTTCTGCCTGCTGCAACCTCCGCTCCCGGGTCCAAGTGATTCTCCTACTTCAGCCTCCCGAGTAGCTGGGATTACAGCAGGGATTAGCCACCATGCCCGGCTAATTTTTGTATTTTTAGTAGAGACGAGGTTTCAACATTTTGGCCAGGCTGGTCTCAAACTCCTGACCTCTGGTGATCTGCCCACCTCAGCCTCCTGAAGTGCTGGGATTACAGGCATGAGCTACTGTACCTGGCTGACAAATTGATATTGAAGTAAAGGCTTTTACTGGGCTGGGCACTTTGGTTCATGCCTGTAATCCCAGCTCTTTGGGAGGTCGAGGTGGAAGGATCGCTTGATCGCTTGAGCCTAGGGATTCAAGACCAGCCTGGGCAACATGGCTGTATTAGGGTTCTCTAGAGGGACAGAACTAATAGGATATAGATAGATTAGATAGATTAGATAGATAGATAGATGATAGATAGATAGATAGATAGATAGATAGATAGATAGATAGATAGAGTTTATTAAGTATTAACTTACATGATCACAAGGTCCCACAACAGGCTGTCTGCAGGCTGAGGAGCAAGGATAGCCAGCCTGAGTCTCAAAACTGAAGAACTTGGGAGTCCAATGTTTGAGGGCAGGAAGCATCCAGCACTGGAGAAAGACGTAGGTTGGGAGGCTAGGCCAGTCTCCCCTTTCACGTTTTCCTGCCTGCCTTATATTCGATGGTGGATGATTAGATTATGCCCACCAGATTAAGGGTGGGTCTGCCTTTCCCAGTCCACTGACTGAAATGTTAATCTCCTTTGGCAACACCCTCACAGAAACACCCAGGATCAGTACTTTGCATCCTTCAATCCAATCAAGTTGACACTCAGTGTTAACCATCCCAATGGTGAAACTTCATCTTTATAAAAGACAAAAAACAATAAACGTAGCTGGGCATGGTGGTGTGTGCCTGTAGTCCCAGCTAGTCTGGAGGTTGAGGTGAGATGATCACCTGAGCCTGGGAGGTCAAGGCTGCAGGGAGATGTGATGGCACCACTGCACTCCATTCTGGGTGACCCTGTCTCAAAAAAAAAAAAAAAAAAAAAAGTGGGGAGGCTTTTATTACCACTAAGTGCCAGAGGGATTAGCTCAAAAGCATAGATAGAAAACTTAGTCACAGAAAGGATGGTACCTGATAGAGAAGAAATTCAAATGAGAGCTTATAAAATGTCTGCGTTCAAAGCATTTGAACATTTCTTTGTTTTAAAAAGGATTCTTGTATAGATACTTTAAATCAGTTGTCAGGACTCAAATACTTACACAACCTGGACAGGTAGCAAAAATGAGTGAAACAGTGAAAGTACAGATGCAAACATGGTGTGAGAGGTGCGTGCTTGCACCTTGTAAAGTGGATGGCTGCTACTCAGCTCTAATCAGTCATTGCTTAAGTGTTGCATCCATAGTTTCAAGACAAACCCTAAATTAATACTGTTATGTACAGTTTTTGATTTTTTAAAATATTGGCTAGAAAAAGGACCAGAATCAGGAATCAGAGCCAGTTTCCTGACATTGTGTGACCTCTTCTTTATATACGTAGACAGGGTTTCGCCATGTTGGCCAGGCTGGTCTCGAACTTATGACCTCAGGTGATCCGCCCGCCTGGGCCTCCCAAAGTGCTAGGGTTACAGGTGTGAGCCACTGTGCCCAGCCCAAATACTGATTTTTAAAAAATCATTTGCCTGAGAAATATCTATATGCCATTCATTGACTAACAAACATTTATTGGGCATTTATCACATGCTAGTCACTGAAAATGCATCCATATCCTTAAAATGGAATGATAAGGAAAATGTTCACACAAAAACAGTTGCTTTGTGTTGAAAAGTGTTGAAAGTGTTCAACAAAAACAATCTATATAAATTCATGTGTTCCTTAGTTAATATTTTTGATATAAAAATGCCCAATCCTAACACACTACTGCTTGTACAAGTTATGGAGAGAAGTGTTATATAAGAGTCTCTTCTGTTATTAGAGAATCAAAAGAAACTCCTGTCTTAGCTATACTTCTTTTGCCTCATGTTACAAAGGTACAGTAAAAAAGGACCTTATGCACTTAAGCCCTTACATAAGCTGCCTAGGCTTTAAGGGCACCAAAACTCAGAAAAAAGTTGTTTGGACAGAAGTATAAAAACCACGTAGAGAAGAATTCAGAAGAAGCTAATATTAAAACATACAGGGAACATACTGCTTCAGAAAGTGATAAAGTTAGTAGTGAGACACATGCTGAGCAAAGAAGCTACTTTTAGGGTTTAGGTGTAGGTCTAAGTGGAGCTAAACAAAGGAGAAAAACTGTGAGGGCAAGATTTGGGGTCACCAGGAAAGATTCCTTTATTATGCATACAATTGTGCTATTTACACGCGATGTTAACCTGAAACACTACACCAGGAATCACCAAAGTATGCTCTACTCCTATTTTTGTAAATACAGTTTATCAGACTCATTTTGTTTATTCATTTTTCTATGGTTGCTTTCATGCTACAACATCAGAACTAAGTAGTTGCAATAGAAATCCTATCATCTGCAAAGTCGAAAGTAAAATCTGTTTGCTGTGTGGCCCTTTACAAAAAAAAAAAAAAAATTTGCTGATTCCTAAGCTATACAGATACACTGCAATATCTATCTCCCTTTAGTTAAAAAAATTTTGATAAAAATATTTCCTTACTTAGTTCATGTATTGTGGAATGTGGGAACACATCACTGAAATGTACATAACCGAGTCTCTTTTATCAGGTACAAACACTTAAGGGTATTAAAGCCTCAGTATTCATACTGTCTGTTAAAAATGAAGGATGGGGCCAGGCGTGGTGGCTCATGTCTGTAATCCCAGCACTTTGGGAGGCTGAAGTGAGAGGATTGAGGCCAGGAGTTCAAGACCAGCCTGAGCAACAGAGTGACACCACATCTCTACACAAGTTAAAAATATTAGCCAAGGCCACGCACGGTGGCTCACACCTGTAATCCTAATACTTTGGGAGGTTGAGGCGGGTGGATCACCTGAGGTCAGGAGTTCGAGGCCAGCCTGGCCAACATGGTGAAACCCCATCTCTACTAAAAATACAAAATATTAGCTGGGCGTGGTGGCAGGTTCCTGTAATCCCAGCTACTTGGGAGGCTGAGGCAGGAGAATCACTTGAACCTGGAAAGCGGAGGTTGCAGTGAGCTGAGATCCTGCCATTGCACTCCAGCCTGGGCAACAAGAGCGAAACTCTGTCTCAAAAAAAAAAAAATGTATTAGCCAGGTCTGGTGGTGCATGCCTGCTGTGGTCTCAGCTATTCAGGAGGCTGGGGTGAGAAGATTGCTTGCACCCAGGTGGTTGAGGTTGTAGTGAGCTGTGATTGTGCCACTGCACTCTAGCCTGGGCAACAGCATAACCAAGACACTGTCAAAAAAAAAAAAAAAATTACACAGCATTTATTCATCAACATGTTAGACAACTCAGGATCACCAGATACTTGAGGAAAACCAACAGCACAGAAGGGGAAGGGTCAAGAAGAAGTAACAAATGACTTCAGAGGAAACAGAGAGGATTCCCTGGACGGAAGAACACCAAACAGCAGAGCACTTAAATTCCTGTGTAGTTAGAAAGATTCAAAAAAAAAAATACTACAGACATGAAACAAGAAGAGACTAATGTGTAATTGGGGAATAAGAATGTGTCGTTAAAAAAAGACGAAAGTTAAAAGTCAGTGGATGGGCTAAGGAATAAAATGGGCCAAAGATGGTAAATTGGTAGAATGTGCAAGTAAGGTGATCTGGGAAATAAAGTTGATAAGATACTTCAGGAAGTACACAAAAATAAATGGAATGTTAAATATCACATTGAAATCAAGAAACATGGAGCTCCAACATTTTTCTAATACAAATTTTAGCAAGAAAGAACAGAGACTAGAAAGGAAGAAATGGTTAACAAAAAAAGCAGAAGAAACTTCCCTGAACTGGAGAAGGATAGGTCTTCAGACTGAAAAGAACTCTTTTAGAGCCAACAGGATTAATCAAGATGAACCTTGCCTAGACAGATCCTTGTGTGATGTCATAACTAAATTATTGGACATTTTAATGGTGATGGAAGAGTAATATGTAAATCATTCAGTGGTTTTTCTTCTTGTTTAACTGTGTAGAGTAGGTGTCATTGTCGTTTGCCTTTTATGAATGATTTTTCCAAGGTCTGGAGAATAGAGACATAGTATCAGACTTGCATAATATTTTGGTATTCTTGTTTGGTTATAGTTCTGTATTTTAAAATGCCAGTCATTTGGCAGCAGCAGACTTCAGTACTATGCAGTTTCCCCCAAACACTTTGGACTAGTCTGAACTACCACAGTACATTGTCCAAATGTGTTATATAGCTCTTGTATAGTAATTTATTTGCTAGACCTCTTTTATTGGACTGAATTCCTTTGGGAGGCATTTAGTAAAAATGTGTCAAATGATGCTGCGCTATTATATTGTTTACTGACCATGTTCTTCCTAATGTTGCTGAATTTGTATATTTTGTTAATGTCTTTTGCATATAACATACAGCTTACAGGAACTGGAAGATAACTGGTTTATAGAAAATCCAAGGAAATAGCTAGAATATTGAGGCAGGTAATACTAGTAATGACCTTTTTATTTTAATTAGTGGACCCAAAATGAAATTAAATACGTTCTCGTTATCTGCTCTGCAGATGTCTTACCAGCCAACAGTTTGGAATAGAGAGAAGGCAGCTCTGTTGAGGCAGGTAACACTGGTAATGAGCTTTTTATTTTTAATTTAATTAGTGGCCCCGAAGCTTAAGAAGTAGACTCATAAGCCTAAGAAGTTCTGAAATCCATCCTTTGGTATCTACTCCCTGGTGGTCTGATTCAGTCTCATGGATTTAAATGCCATCAATATGTTAACTCCCCAAATTTTATCTCCAGCTCAGATCTCTTTTTTGAGCTGCAAACTCTTACATCCAACTGCCTGCTTAACAGGCCCACACGAATATGAAATAGACATATCAAACTTAATATTCCTAAAACTAAACTTCTAATTTTTGGTTATCCTCTGCCCTGCTTTCCCAAAGAAGATAACCTTACTCCTCCTGCTGTCTTTCCCATCTCATTTAATGATCACCATCCTTCTAGTCATTTGAGCCAGAAATCTAGGTCATCTTGTATCTTTTCTCATCCTCACGCCATATTCAGTTTTTCAGGAAATCCTGTTGCTTCTACCTTCAAAATTCATGTAGAATTCTGCTTCTTCTCAGTATTTTTATAGCTCTCTTCTTCATTCTTGTATCATATTCTCTCTTCTAGATTAATGCAGTAACCTTTTAACTGAATTCCCAGTTTCTACCCTTCTCTCACTATAATTGTCAATACAGAGAAACTAAAAATCTCAGATCATGTTGTTCCTTGCTCAGAACCCTCCAGTGGGTTCTCATATCACTTAGAGTAAAAGACTCCCACCCAGTCAGTGCCCTAGAATGTAGCCATAGGGTAGGGCCTTTTCCTACCAAAACCACTATAAAGTCTGAAAGAGATGATTACTCCATACAATGAACAAACCTTAACATAATGCAATAAGAAACATGAAAAAGCAAGAAAACATAACACCACCAAAGGAATGCAATAATTTTCCAATAATCAACCCTCCCCAAATGGAGATTTATGAATTGCCTGTCAAAGAAAAATCAAAATAATTATTTTAAGGAAGCTCAGTGAACTACAGGAGAACACAGACAACTCAATGAAATCAGAAAAACAATACAAACAAAACTAGAAGTTTAACAGAGAGGTTGGAATAATTAAAAAGAACAGCGCAATAGAGACTGTTAACAGCAGAACTGATCAAGCATAAGAAAGAACTGGTAAACTCAAACACTGGATATTTGGAAATATTTGATCAGAAAAGAAAAAGAATGAAAAGGAGTGAAAAGCCTACAGATTTAGGGACATCATCAAAAGAGCTAACATTTGTAGAATTCAAGGAGAATAGAGAGAGACAGAAAGCTTATTTAAAGATTTAATGTCTGAAAACTTCTCTGATCTTGGAAAAGAGAGAAACACCCAGGCATGGGAATCTCAAAGGTCTCCAACTAGATTCAACCCAAAGAAGACATATCTAATCAAATTGTCAAAAGTCAAAGAGAATTTTAAAAGCAGCAAGATAAAAAAAGGATCCTCACATGCAAGGGAGCTCCTTTAGCCTATCAGTGAATTTGTCAGCAGAAACTTTGCAGGTCTAGAGAGAATAGAATAATATATTTATTTAAAGTGCTGAAAGAAAAAAATTGTAAACCAAGAATACTTTATCTGACAAAACTGTTCTTCAGAAATTAGGGAGGCGTGAAGACTTTCCCAGAAAAGAAAAGCAGAGGGAGTTAACCACCAGTAAACCTGCCTTACAAAAAAATGAAAGAGAATTCTTCAAACTGAAATGAAAGGGTGCTAATTAGTAACATGAAAACATGTAAATTATAAAACTCACCAGTAAAACGCTGTCATTGAGGATACTTGTAGAGCTCTTCTTGGTCTGTGAAGCAAATTTTGATTGGTTTGGAGCTTTGGTGTAAAGCTTACACACACATTATGTTATTGGGGTCCTCTCAACAATCCTGTGAAGTATGTAGAGCATATAATATTCCCTATTTGCAAATGAGAAAACAAAGACTCAGAGAAGGCAATGGACTTGCTCACAGCCATGCTGGTGGAAAATGATAGGGTGGCAGAGTGGAGATTCTACTCCAAATGCACTGTACCAGTGGTTTCCAACTATTTTTGACTGCAACTTAGAGGAAGAAGTGCATTTTAAATTTTGACCCAGAATGTGCACGTGTGTACGTGCACACAATGAAAGCAAAAAAAAAATATCTATATATATCTATATATATCTATATATCCTATAGTATCAGGGACTGGTTTTGTGGCAGACAGGTTTTGCACAGACCAGGAGGGCGGTGATGGTTTCAGGATGATTCAAGCTCATTTACACTTATTGTGTATTCTGTTTAATAATTATACAACTCACCATAATGTAGAATCAGTGGGAGCCCTGGGCTTGTTTTCCTGCAGCTAGATGGTCCATCTTGAGGGTACGGGAGACAGTTACAGACCATCAGGCATTAGATTCTCATAAGGAGCAGATAACCTAGATTCTTCGTGTGCACAGTTCACAATAGTGTTCATGCTCCTATGAGAATCTAATGCTGCCACTGATCTGACAGGCGGAGCTCAGGTGGTAATGCAAATTATGGGGAGTTGCTGTAAATACAGATGAAGCTTCACTCACTCACCCACCTTTCACCTCCTGCTGTGTGGTCCAGGTCCTAACAGGCCACAGACCCGTATCAGTCTGTGGCCCATGCATTGGAAACACCTGGCCCACAGGACCAAATATGATCTACTTATACTTTGTTTCCTTACCTCTGTGGGGAAACATTTTCTGCTTTTCCCTTCGTTCACATATGTTCTAGCTACATTGCTTTCCTCCTATTCCTCAAACTTCTGCCTTAGGACCTTGGCACTGGCAGCTTCTTCTTACCTGCAGACTCTTCCCTCAGATATCTGCATAGCTAATTTTCTCCCTACTTCAAATCATTGCTCACATGTCACCTTTTCAATGACACCTACTATGGCCATCCTATTTAAAATTGTAACCCTTTAATCCCTGGGTAGTCTTAGCCTGTTTTACTTTTTCCTATAGCACTTACTATCTTCTAATATATAATTTATTAATTTATTATTTTTATTGTTTGTCTTCCCCTTCCAGAATATAGGCTCCATGAGGGCAGGGTTTGTTTGCTTTGCAAATTGATGTATTCAAAGTGGTCAGTATAATACCTAGGAATAGATGGATCCCTAAAATTGAATGGATATCATGAAAAAAATCAGTAAAATATTTTTCAAAGTAAAAGCTGCTTATGATATTTTGTTATTTTGTTGTTAATATTGCAAATTTTTAGAATATAATAATGCAGTATTCAAATACAAGTATCAGTGTGCATCCCATAGACATAATTTTTATATCATCTGCTGTTTTGGATTCTTATTTATTCACTTAGATAATTGAGTTGGCAGTATTAGTTAAGTGCAACAACTGTTAATGAAATGTCTACCATGCAAAGCACTGGAAAAACAGATCAGTAAAATAGCCTCTGTCCTTGAAGAGAATTGGCTCATGGGAACAAATAATTACCATATATTATAATACATGTAGTCAAGGAAAGTTTATATAATGTTTCTAAATTGAAAGTCAGAGTAGTCTCTTGGGCTACTCTATTGATTATATCAAAGGAGCCAAATGTCAACCTTACAAAGTCCAATTAAATAATGTTTTCACCAGCCTTTATATTTCAGTAAGGCCTTTTATACTTGTAGAAATAAGAAAATGTTTTTGAAACTCCAAGAAAATGATTAGAAGTCTACTGATTTTATTGGTTTTGGCTTTGTTATCTGTTTGAAGGAATAATTGTTAGAGAGGTTATCCGAGACCTCTGAATATTTATAGTTACTGTGAGAGTTCAGGTTGTAGGTTTTGTTAGTGAAAAAGTCAATCCTCTCGAACCCTGCCGCTGTTTTATCAACTAAATTTATGTAGTATTCTAAATCTTTTTTTCTTTTTGAAGTAGGATATTTCCCTGACCCCTTCATGGAACTCCTGACAGGGGTGCCTCATTTACTCAGCCTGCTACTCTCCACTCCTCATGAGAGGGAGTGAGTGAGTGAACAACGTGGGAAATGGAGTGCATGAGCACTGGAACTGGGTGGCCATTTCAGTGTCAGCAGGATCAAACTCCACTCACTTGGACCTGCTGTGTTCCACCCCTTGCAGGAGGGAGTGTGTAGGTGAGCAGGTGCAGGAGTCAGAGCGAGTGCTTTTGGGCACTGGCAGGAGCGAACTCCGTGCAGGCTCTGCTGCAGCATCCAAGTGGGGTGCCTGTGACTCCTGAAGCCCCAGAGGGCATATTACAGTGCTCTGTTAGCTCTGCTGTCTGTGGGTGGCTTAAGTGTTAACAACAATTCAGTGGGCCCTCTGCCTTTTTGCATGAGATGGCTGCCTTCTGCCAATAAGGGCAAGGGGCCAGTGTGACAGCCTTTTGTATCCACACTTGTGGCTCCCAAGCTCTTGTCCAGTGTCCAGGAAAAAAATGAGGTTACATGAACAAATTGAAAGATGGTAAATGTGGGGGATTTTATTGCCATGAAAGTGGCTCTTAACCAGAAGGGGAGCTGAAAAGGGGATGGGGCAGGTAGGTAATCTTTCCCTGAAGCCCAGCCTTCTCCGACCGGATTCTTCTCTGAAGTTACGCCATCAGGCTCTTTCTGAGGTCAAGCTGCTTCTCTCCAACGTCCAGCCATAGTCCCCGACGTCCAGCAGCTTCTCCTCTCTTCGGGCTGAGTCTGGGGTCTTTATAGGCATAGGATGGGGTTGGGCAGGACAGGTCCATGGGTGGTTTAGGAAAAGGCAACATTCGAGCCGGAAAACAGGGATATAAGTTCTTGTTTTGGTCTGCCGTTTCACGCTTTTCGACTTGAGGGTGGGGCTTTTGCCAGGGACCTGCCGTTTTCTGCCTAGAATTTCTCTGTCCCCTGTCCCTGTCAATTTCAGCAGTGTTCACAGCATCTTTACCAGGAGTAGATTCTATCTTCAGAAACCACTTTCTTTGTTCATCCATAAGAAGTAAGTCCTCATTCATTCAAGTTTTGTCTTGAGATTGCAGCTATTCAGTTACATCTTCAGACTCCACTTCTAATTCTAGTTGTCTTGCTATTTTCGCCACATCAGTAGCAACTTCCTGCACTGAGGTCTTGAAATGCACAAAGTCATCCGTAAGGGTTGGAATCAACTTCTTCCAAATTCCTGCGAATGTTGGTATTTTGACCTCCTCCTGTGACTCACAAGTGTACTTAGTGACATTTAGAATGGTGAATCTTTTCCATTAGGTTTTCAAACTTTGCCCAGATCCATCAGAGGAATCACTATCTCTGGCAGCTTATGGCCTTACTGAATGTATTTCTTAAATAATAAGACATGGAAGTTAAAATTACTCCCTGATTCATGGACTGCAGAATAGATGTTGCGTTAGAGATGAAAACAACATTAATCTTTTTGTACATCTCCACCAGAACTTTTGGGTGACCAAGTGCATTGTCAGTGAGTGGTAATATTTTGAAAGGAATATTGTTTCTTAGCAGTAGTCTCAACAGTGAGCTTAAAATTTTAGTAAACCATGCTGTAAACAGATGTGCTATCATACAGGCTTTGTTGTTTTATTTATAGTGCACAGGCAGAGTAGTTACAGCATAATTCTTGAAAGGGCCCTAGAATTTTTGGAATGGTAAATGAACATTGGCTTCAACTTCAAACCACCAGCTGCATTAGCCCCTAACAAGAGAGTCAGTTTGTCCTTTGCAGCTTTGAAGTCTGGCATTGACTTCTCCTCTCTAGATATGAAAGTCCTTAATGGCATCTTCTAATAGAAGGCTATTTCATCTATATTGAAAACCTGTTGTTTAGTGTAGCCATGTTCATCAATGATCTTAGCTAGATCTTTTGGATAACTTACTGCAGTTTCTCCAAGTAGCACTTGCTACTTCACCTTGCATTTTGATGTTATAGAGATGGCTTCTTTCCTTAAACCTCATGAACCAACCTCTGCTGGCTTGAAACTTCTCTTCTGCAGCTTTCTCACCTCTCTCAGCCTGTATAGAATTGAAGAGAGTTAGGGCCTTGCCTATATAATTAGCCTGATCTTCTATCCAGACCACTCAAACTTGCTGTATATCAGCAATAAGGCTGTTTTGCTTTCTTATTTGTGTGTTCATTGGAATAGGACTTTTAATTTCTTCCAAGAACTTTTACTTTGCATTCACAACATGGCTGTTTGGTGTAAGAGGCCATGCTTCTGGCTTTTGACATGCCTTCCTCACTAAGCTTAATCATTTTTAGCTTTTGATTTAAAGTGAAATATGTGGGTCTTCCTTTTACTTGAACACTTAGAGGCCTTTGTAGTGTTATTAATTGGACTAATTTCAATATTATTGTGACTGATGGAATAGAGAAGAGCCGGGAGAAAGAGAAAATGGGAGAATGGCAGATGGGTGGAACAGTCAAAACCTCCTACATTTATCAGTTCAGTTACTTGTTTTATATGGCTGCAGTTTGTGGTGCCCCAAAATGATTACAATAGTAATATCAAGGATTATTGATCACAGATTGCTGAACAGATACTTTAATGAAAAGGGTTGAAATATTTGAGAGTTACCAAACTATGACACAGAGACACAAAGTGAGCACATGCTGTTGGAAAAGTACCGATAGACTTACTTGCTGCAAGGCTGTCACCAACCTTCATTTTGTAAAAAAGGCAGTATCTCTTTGTGCAGTAAAGCGAAACACAATAAAACAAGGCATGCCTGTAGATATACATATTCATGGTAAAAATGGAAATATACAGAAGCAAAGAGTATCTTATATATATAAAATGTTCCATCACTCACATTTCCCACCTTATGTGTTGTGATCCTCTTTCCAGTTTAGTATATATAGATCTACTTCATTTTTTAAAATTGCTGCATGATATTCTATTGTATGTCTGTAATATAATTTAAGGAAGCTTCTAGCCATCAACATTTAAGTTGTTTCTAGTTTTTTTCATCAGATTTATTACTGTGTTGGAATTGTTTATATATTTCTGGGCATTTGTATATCTGTGGGAAAATTTCTAGTCTTGAAATTGCTGGATTAAAACATACATATTTTTAATTGTCCTTCAAAAAATTGTCCTGATTTATATTCTCATAACAAAAGTACATGAGAATATCTGTTTCCCCACATTCTCTCCCATGATGGATTTTAGCATACTTTTTAGTTTTTACCAATGTAATAATGAAAAACTAATTTATTTCATTAGTTGTAAGTAGATTTATGCATCCTTTCAAATTTTAGGCAGTCTCATGTTTAACCTTGCTCTTACTATTTTTCTTCACTTGGAATATTTTTTTCTTCTTTCATTTTTCTCTGAACCTTTACCATTCTTCAAGCCCATGTCAATTTTTTTTTTAATTATTGAATTTCCAAATAACCTCAGACTAAAATGATTTTTCCCTTCTAACAAACTCAATGCTTTATTTCTACTTGTCACAGTTTTATACCAGTCCTAATAAATATCATTTTCTTATTTTAGGATTTGCAGATTTACAGAATGGCTGCACATTAATGGAAAGAGAAGCATAAACCTATCTTCTTTCATTATGGAGGGAGGTTTGGCAGATGGAGAACCTGATCGAACTTCGGTGAGTAGTTCATATATGACATAGGTTCTATCATCTGTAACTGTGAAGTGTTTGATGTAAGCTAGGGTTTTGTTTTTAAAATATATTAACAACAAACTTTTAAAAAGTATTTTTAAAATAATGCTTTAACTCCTTGAGAATTACAGATACTTTAAATGATATGAAAATTACAGATAGCTAGCTAGGCATGGTGGCTCACACCTGTAATCCTAGAACTTTGGGAGGCCGAGATGGGTGGATTACCTGAGCTCAGGAGTTCAAGACCAGCCTGGGCAACAATGGCGAAACCCTGTCTCTATTAAAAATACAAAAATTAGCCAGGTGTGGTGGCACATGCCTGTAGTCCCAGTTACTTGGGAGGCTGAGGCACGAGAATTGCTTGAACTTGGGAGGTGGAGGTTGCAGTAAGCCAAGATAGCGCCTCTGCACTCCAGCCTGGGCGACAAAGTCAGACTCGGTCTCTAAAAAAAAAAAAAAAAAAAAAAAAATGAAAATTGCAAATAGCTTAAAGTTTGTTGGAGCACACCAGTTTTCTGATATTTCTGCTCCATCCTCCTCCTCTTATTTTATCTATCCTTCCAGCCATATAGTGAAAGACATACTGATAGAATAATTTGTTTTCTCCCAAAACCTCTTTGTCTTAAGTGAAATCAAGAGAATGTTAACATTTGAGGAAATTAAATGCCTCCAAATCTCAAATCACATGCAGCTATGAGTAATAGTGGGAATGAAACAGTTAAAATAAGAGCAATTGCCACATATATTCTTTTTATAAAAATATAAAGATTTAATAAACATTTCTACCCTGTGATCATAATTGAATTCTGAAATTAAACAAGTAGTGGGTAGCAGGAAAAGTATACCTTACCTAATACATTAAAACAAAATCACTAGTAGGATGGACTAAATGATGATTTGTCATTTTTTTCTCACTGTACAAAAAGATTTTACTCCAGAATAATTTCATTTTCAATTCTCTTGTTGCATTTTGAGTGACTCCATTATATATTGATGTATAGACTCTTAGAAATATTTCTGTTACCTAAAGTAAAGGTGCCCCCTTCAGTAAAATGTAGTCAGCTGGTAGCTTTATCATTAGTTAGGTGGTAGATTCTTTAACAAATTTACATTGTTGGAATAAGGTAGAGCCCAACTTTTATGTCTTTTATATTGCTGTGGAATTGAGAGTCACTATTAGATTGCGGTGTTTGTAAATTTTAGTTTAGTGAATGTCCTTTGTTCAGGCTCCAGTGTAGGAACAGTCTAATGATTGATAGCAAAATGCAGTTTTGCTGACTAATATTAACTTGGTCCCAGCCTTTCTTGAATTCCTGGTTCAGTCTTGTTTGGGGTTCTTAAATGATCAAAAAAAGTTAAACTTTAAAATAAATTGTTAGTAGAGAAGAAAATGGGTGTGGAAATTCTTGGCTTATGAAGAAGGCTGTTGTCACATTGATTTAAATGAAAAACGGATGGTAAGTTACTTTATTTTTACTATAATTTCAGAAGAAAAGTTAATATTAAGCCTTGTCTGTAGAACTTAATGTTTATTTTATGATAAACTTTACCTTTTTTTATATCTAATGGACTTAGATTCTTTCAACTCAAATACTTTTGGTCTTCTAGTGATATTAAAAATATCAGTTGCTGTTTTTAAGTGTATGCTTTGTTAGACTGTCCTCATAACAGCTATTAAAGGTAGATATTTGTTTATCCTCACTTTTAGAGGTAGGGAAATAGGCTCAGAGAGGTTAATTATCTTCTCTAAGACTTCACAGCTTAAGCGATAGAACTGAAATCTGTCTGTCTCTGAATACTTTACTACTAAGATGTTGACTACATACCTATATTTCTGAATAAAGTGTCTTAAAATTTGTTGTTACTTTTCAAAGTATGTATCCAAGTAAATGTTATTACATTTTATTACCAGACTCCTTTGGCTAAAGTAATAAAGTTTTAGTCATTTCTGGAGTGCGGTGGCGTGATCTCTGCTCACCGCAACCTCCGCCTCCTGGTTCAAGCAATTCTCCTACCTCAGCCTCCTGAGTAGCTGGGATTACAGGCATGTGCCACCATGCTTGGCTAATTTTTTGTATTTGTAGTAGGGACAGGGTTTCTCCATGTTGGTCAGGATGGTCTCAAACTCCCAACTTCAGATGATCCACCTGCCTCAGCCTCCCAAAGTGCTGGGATTACAGGCATGAGCTACTGCGCCCGGTCTTAGTCATTTACTATTCCAAATTTTGTTGATATTGAGAAGTTAAAAGTTGTTTGAAAAGTAGTGAGAGGCCGGGCACGGTGCGTCACACCTGTAATCCCAGCACTTTGGGAGGCTGAGGCGGGTGGATCACCTGAGGTCAGGAGCTCGAGACCAGCCTGGCCAGCATGATGAAACCCTGTCTCTACTAAAAATACAAAAAAATTAGCCGGACGTGGTGGCAGGCACCTGTAATCCCAGCTACCGAGGAGGCTGAGGCAGGAGAATTGCTTGAACCTGGGAGGCAGAGGTTGCAGTGAGCTGAGATCGCGCCACTGCACTCTAGCCTGGGCAACAAGAGCGAAACTCCGTCTCAAAAAAATAATAAAAATACAAGTAGTGAGAACAGTTTTTCTTTTCTTGTTCATTAGGTTCCTTCTGTGAAATATTATAGCTAATTTTAGAGAAAATAATACCAATAATTTCAGTGTAAACTACTGAAATATTCTGTATTTGAAACTAACGTTGAGGTCCACTTTTGAGTTAACTATAAAATAATCACCTTTGAACTGCTTGGTCTAAGCTAGTTACTGTTTAGATCTGGGAGAAGTGGATCAGAACATGAGCTCTGTAAGACATTTAGCTACATGTTAAAATCTGAGCCCTGTCACTTAGTTGTATGACTTGGGTAGTAAATTCTCCAGGTTTCTAGTTTCCTTATAAATAGAGATAATTGTAATATCTACCTCCCAAAGTTATTTTCAATATTAATTGAGAAAATATGTCTATGAAGTGCCTATTACAAGGCTACACATACGTAAACATCCATTAAATAAAAGCAACTATTTTTATTGTTATTATAACTATTAATATTAAGCCTTCTCTACAAAAAGATAAATAATTAAAAGTCAGGAGAAGCCTGTGAAGATTCAGTGATTGCTCCACACTAGAGTAGTTGGAGAAGCTTTCTTAAGAGAACATAAACTTTGAATTGCACATGAACGTAGGGATCATAGGATTGAAAATGAGCAAGGAAACCATGCCAGGTGAGAGAATAGCAAGAGGCAAGGCTAAATATGGAATTAATTGCTCAGTTTATTCAGGGTATAATTAGTAAAAAATATTAAGGCAGGATGGAAGGAAGTGAGTGATGTTTAGAGGAATAATGATGGATATGCCAGATAGAGACCAAATTTATGGAAGGCTTTGAGTGCTAGACCAGGGATTTTGGATTTGATTCTGCAAGTAATGGTTTGTCATTTAGTATTTTTATGTAGATGAATCTGAAAGCAGTGTATAAAATGATTTGGAGGAGTGAATATTAAGAGAGTATTACAAGGCCGGGCTCAGTGGCTCACGCCTGTAATCTCAGCACTTTGGGAGGCCGAGGCGTACAGATCACCTAAGGTCAGGAGTTCAAAACCAGCCTGGCCAACATGGTGAAACCCCATCTCTACTAAAAATACAAAAATTAGCCAGGTGGCGTGGCGGGCACCTGTAATCCCAGCTACCCGGGAGGCTGAGACATGAGAATTGTCTGAAGTCGGGAGGCTGAAGTTGCAGTGAGCTGAGATCATGCCATTGCACTCCAGCCTGGGTGACAAGAGTGAAATGCTGTCTCAAAAAAAAAAAAAAAAAAAAAAAAAAAAAAAGACTATTACAGTGATCTTGGGGTGAGGTTGTGAAAAAAATCTGACTTTATTATTCATTTGCTTTCCTTCTTGAACATAATACAAATTTTTTTTTATTGAGACAGAGTCTCGCTCTGTTGCCCAGGTTGGAGTGCAGTGGCATGGTCTCGGCTCACTGGAACCTCCATCTCCCTGATTCAAGCAGTTTGCCTGCCTCAGCCTCCCGAGTAGCTGGGATTACAGGTGCACGCCACCACACCAGGCTAATTTTTTTGTATTTTTAGTAGAGACGGGGTTTCACCATGTTGGCCAGATGGTCTGGAACTCCTGACCTCAGGCTATCCATCTGCCTCAGTCTCCCAAAGTGCTAGGATTACAGACATGAGCCACTGCAGCCAGCCAATACTATATGTTATTTTTTGAGACAGAGTCTCGCTCTGTCACCCAGGCTGGAGTGCAGTGGCATAATCTCGGCTCACTGCAACCTCCTGTCTCCCGGGTTCACATCATTCTCCTGTCTCAGCCTCCTGAGTAGCTGGGACTACAGGCGAGCGCCACCATGCCTGGCTAATTTTTGTATTTTTAGTAGAGACAGGGTTTCACCATATTGGCCAGGCTGGTCTTGAACTGCTGACCTCATGATCCGCCTGCCTCGGCCTCCTAAAGTGCTGGGATTACAGGCATGAGCCACCGTGCCCTGCCCAATACTATATATTTTTAAAACACATTTGCTCACTTGTTATTCTAGTTGCATATGGTTCTATTTTTCTGGTAGTGCTGTTTGTCTTAGATGGCAGGTACTAAAAAGTATAGATTAAATCTATCTTTCTATATGTGGTACTTATATGCCACACAACATGAGAATACTTTTTAATATATGTCTAAAACTATCTTTTGAAAGTTTACAGTTTTCACTCTAGAAATTAACTGCTCAAAATGCTTTAAAGAGTCAAAGTTTTATGACCTGATTGAGGTAGACTAAAGAAGTGAAATATCTTTGTAGATTAGAGAAAATTGAATATGTTCCTCAACTTAAGGATAGTCACTCTATCTTGATTTTTTTTTTTTGAAACGGAGTTTCGCTCTTGTTGCCCAGGCTGGAGTCCAATGGCACGATCTTGGCCCACTGCAACCTCTGCCTCCTGGGTTCAAGCAATTCTCCTGCCCCAGCCTCCCAAGTAGCTGGGATTACAGGCATGCGCCACCACGCCCGGCTAATTTTGTATTTTTAGTAGAGACGGGGTTTCTCCATGTTGGTCAGGCTGGTCTCGAACTCCCGACCTCAAGTGATCCGCCCGCCTTAGCCTCCCAAAGTGTTGAGATTACAGGCGTGAGCCACTGCACCTGGCCTATCTTTTGAAGTATTTCCGAAGTATTATTTCTTTTATCTCTTGAAGCAAAGGAAACTGCTTCATAAGTTTTATTAGAGGGCAAAATCTTTTATTGTATTAAAAATTGATTTTATAAATGATTTTTTAGAAGAAAGCAACAATTTAAAAAATATGTATGAATCTTTTTTATGCTCTCAGTTGAGAAAATCTTTAAGATTCTAATTCAGGTTGGGTACCTTGAATCCAAAAGCTTTCTGAAGTGGAAGGAACTGCAAAAATGATTTAGTTCAGCAATTCTTAGAATATAGTCAATGAGTGTCTTCCTGGAGAGCCTAGAGATGATCCAACTTCCTGTAACTGATTTTTACATACTAGGTGAGTTATTCATAATTTAGATTTGGTGATCATAAAGTAAAATTGCTGTGTTATTAGAGTTTATTCAAAGCCTTAAATCGTATTCTAAGAAGCCCAGCTATCTATAAAAATTAGCAACATTTTAGAGCTTGTGCATGCAAATTAATGGAATTACACCACTTTTTGCTACAGCAAGTATTATTTTGAGTGGGTCACAGTTTTTAAATATTGCTGTTTTTGTCCTGTTATAAATACTATTAAATTAACTTCATTATTATGATTATTGATTTAGTGTATTATGTGGTATTAGTGATAGCATCTTTCTAACAATAGTATTCACATTTTTTTTATTTTTAAATTTTTGGCAGAGACAGGGTCTTGCTCCGTTGCCCAGGCTGGACTGTAGTCGTGTGATCCTAGCTCACTGCAGCCTTGAATTCCTGGGCTTAAGTGATCCTCCCACCTCAGCCTCCAGAGTAGCTTGGACTACAGGCCTGCCCCACTCTGTCTGGCTAATTTCTAAATTTTTTTTTAATAGACGCAGGGTCTTGCTATGTTTCCCAGGCTGTAACAACAATAGTTTTTTTATGTACAACTTCCCAATAATTGGCCTCTAAGGCATTTGTGCATTCAAGTTTAATGATAATTTATCCATATGCCAATTACTAATCCTCTGAAAGTATTGTTGTACAATAGCACTTCTTTAAATTTTACCGTTGGTCATTGTGCTCTTATCCTATTGCGACTGTAACAAATTGCCACAGATTTAGAGGCTCAAAACAACACAAATTTATTCTCTTAGCAGTTCTGGAAGTCAGAAATCTAAAAGCAAAGTGTTAGCAGGGTTGTTTTCCTTCTGAAGACTCTGAGGGAAGAATCCATTTTCTTGCTTTTATCAGTATCTAGAGAATGCATTCATTTTTTTTGGCTCATGGCCCCTTCCTTGTATCACTTCAACCTTTGTCTTTTGTTATCACATGCCCTGCTGCTCATTTAGGCCCTCTTGCTTCCTCTTATAAGGATACTTATGACTACATTGAGCTCAGTTACATAACCCACTCAGAAAATCAGATAACTGCCCTATATCAAGATCCTTAACCTAATCACATCTGCAGAGCCCCTTTCACTACAGAAGGTAACATTCACAGCTTCCAGGGATTAGGGTGTGGACATCTTTGGGAGGCCATTATTCTTTCCTCCAGAGCCAGTATTAACCTCTGGAGTAACCTAACCTATTGGAAGTGGGTCCTGTTGTTGGATAACCCAAAGTCTGTGGTCTGCCCAGGCATCTCACCCGAGGAGTTGCCAGCTAGATTGAAGTCCTAAATAATGAAAATTCTTAAGTTGCAGGGATCTCCTTATGTAAAGTTAAAATAACTGTGAAGATTTTAGTCACTAGTTTATTACTTACATTCTTATTTTCTCATGTTAAAATAACTTCATCTTCCCAACAGCTGCTTGCTAACTCTAACAGTTTGTATTAATCATACATACAAGATTGTTAATAGAAGTTATTCTTGAACTGAAATGGAGTAGTAGAACGTATCCCAATATACCCATTACTCATCTTCAACAATTATCAACTTGGATTGACATTGTTTCATCTATACTCCCACCTTCCTAAGCCAGAGTTTTTGAACAAATCTTAGATAAATCATTGTATTCATAAGTATTTACTGTCCGTATATATCTCCAAAATATAAAGACTTTAAAACTTTGATCATAAATACATTATTCCTAAAAATTAATAACTCTTTAGTCAGATAATTATTCAGTGCCTACACTTCCCTAGTTCTCTCATATTCTTTTTTTTTTTTTTTTTTTTTTTTGAGATGGAGTTTCACTCTTGTTGCCCAGGCTGGAGTGCAATGGTGCGATCTCGGCTCACTGCAACCTCTGCCTCCTGGGTTCAAGCGATTCTCCTGCCTCAGCCTCCCGAGTAGCTGGGATTACAGGCATGCGCCACCATGCCCGGCTAATTTTTGTATTTTTAGTAGAGACAGAGTTTCTCCGTGTTGGTTATGCTGGTCTTGAACTCCCGACCTCAGGTGATCCGCCAGCCTCGGCTTCCCAAAGTGCTGGGGTTACAGGCATGAGCCACCGCGCCCGGCCTCTCATATTCTTTTTATAGTAGGTTGTTGTGTTGGACTTAGTTGATAAGTCACAAGTCTTTTTGAATCTTTTAAATCTCTCCGATATCTGTTAATTTTTACCTTTCAATTTATTGAAAAAACACGATGGTTTATTCTGTGGAGTTTTCTACAATATGAATTTTCCCCTCATGGTGATGTTTAAGGTGTTCATCAGTCCCTTATATTTCCTGCAAGTTGGTTGTTAGAATTAGAGGCTTGCACAGATCAAGGTTCAAATTTTTTTTGACAATAATGATGTATAAATGGTGTTGTATGTAACCGTCAGGAGGCACATAATGTCTGATTCTCTCTCTTTATGTGGTAATAGCAACCATTGATGTTCATTGCCTAGATCTGTTATTTCGATAGTGGTATACATTAGAATTCTAATTGGGTTAGAAAAGTGGAGGCTGGAAAGAATGATTATGACTAGTCTGTACCTTTTGAGCAAGCAAACCAATCAACATACATTTTTTTAATGCAATAAAAATCTTCTATTTTAATTTTTAAAAAAATTTTGTGTGCATGTAGTGGGTGGATATATTTATGGGATATATGGGATGTTTTGATACAGGCGTGTAGTGCGTAATGATCACATGGATGATGGGGTATCCATCCCCTTAAGCTTTTATCCTTTGTGTTACAATCCAATTATACTCATTTAGTTATTTTAAAATGTACAATCCAATCTACATTTTGTTAGGTATTTTGTCTTTTGCCACTTTATAGCTTTATTGAAACTTCTATTAAAGGGAGACATTTAGAAAAGGTCAAAATAATTTGATAGGTATACTTTGTTATACTGAGACAGAGTCTCGCTCTGTCGCCCAGGCTGGAGTGCAGTGGCATGATCCTGGGTTCATGCCATTCTCCTGCCTCAGCCTCCCGAGCAGCTGGGACTACAGGCGCCTGCCATCACACCCGGCTAATTTTTTGTATTTTTAGTAGAGACGGAGTTTCACCCTGTTAGCCAGGATGGTCTCGATCTCCTGACGTCATGATCCACCCGCCTCGGCCTCCCAAAGTGCTGGGATTACAGGTGTGAGCCACTGTGCCCGGCCTGTTACACTTTGTTTACATCTCCATTACTTTAACTTCTGAAAGTTTTGTTAGCAGTACTTAAATATTTGTAATTGTTTGAACTTCCTAAGTGTGAATATATTGCTCAGTATTACCTATTGTGTGAGTACTAAAGATTGCATCTCATTATATCGTTTTTCTTTTTTTTTTTCTTACCTTATTAGATGGTTATTCTTGTTAGAGGCTTGAGTAATGTAAAAATCATTCAGGTATATAATTGGACTCTGTAGTAAATTTGGGGAGCCTCATTGGAGAAAGCGTTAGCTTTTTAAAAGAAAGAGAAATAACCAGTGGCATACAGAATGTAACAGCAGAATTCCCAGCCACACATCTTTTGTGTTTCTATTATTCTTGGAGATTTTCTTAAAGTGGGTTCCCAGGACTCTGAGACTCTCTAAGACCCTTTCAGAGAATCTGTGAGGGGTAAAAATTATTTTTTTTTTGTAATAATACCATGGTACTTTATATTATTTGTCTTTTTTATCCTCATGAGGGCACAGTAGAACTTTCCAGAGACCACATAAAACATGATGTCATTGCTCTGGTGGCTACCGGAGGGTGTGTTTGTGAATTCTTTTTTTTTTAGATGGAGTCTCGCTCTGTTGCCTAGGCTGGAGTGCAGAGGCGCAGTCTCAGCTCACTGAAGCCTCTGCCTCCCAGGTTCAAGCAATTCTTCTACCTCAGCCTTCGGAGTAGCTGGGATTACAGGCGCACCACCATGCCTGGCTAAGTTTTGTATTTTTAGTAGAGATGGAGTTTCACCATGTTGGCCAGGCTGATCCCAAACTCCTGACCTCAGGTGATCCACCCTCCTCAGCCTCCCAAAATGCTGGGATTACAGGTGTGAGCCACCATGCCCGGCCATGAATTCTTTTGTTTTCAATTTTTTTTTTTTAGTTTAATTTTTTCTAAGATATATATATTTTTAAATAAACTTTGTTTTAGAACAGTATTAGGTTTACAGAAAAATTGTAAAGATAATAGAGTTCCCATATATGTTGTACCCCCCCTTCGCCTATTAGGAACATCTTATATTAGTGTGGTACATGTGATATAATTGATGAACTCATGTTGATACATTATTAACAGAAATCCATACTTGATTCAGATTTACTTAGTTTTTACGTAATGTCCTTTTTATGTTCCAGGATCCAATTCAGGACGTCACGTTACATTTAGTTCTCGTGTTTCCTCATGTTCTTCTTGATTATGACCGTGTGTCAGACTTTCTTTGTTTTGAATGAACCTTGACTGTTTTGAGGGCTACTGGTTAGTTATTTTACATAGTATCCCTGAACTGGAATTTGTTTGATATGTTTTTCATGATTAGACTAAGTTTAATGGATTTTGAGAAGGAAGACCACAGAGATAAAGTGCCGTTTTCATCACATCATACCAAGGGTATATTCTGTCAGCATAACTTATTTTTGCTGTTGACTGTGATCACCTGGCTGAGGTGGTTAGTAAATTTCCCATTAAATTTGTTTTTAATTCAGAAAATATTACTAGGCATAATCCACATATACAATAGCTCTTTGGAGTCTTCAACAGTTTCTAAGAGTATAAAGGAAACTCGAGACCCAAAAGTTTGAGTTGGTCATCTAAGCCTTAAGCAACTAACACTTAAAGAAAGAATAATTGACAGCTGCCTGATATGACAAAAGGAACCAAGAAGATGAGGTTTGGGGGTGGGAGAGTAGAAGAAAGAATTGACAGGGCCTTTAAGAATAAGGGAGTGATACCAAGATAAACTCTGGCTTTTTTATAACTCTGCTTTATGTTGAGACAGGACCTCTACCTTTCAGCAGTTTTTTGACTTTGTTTCTTTCTTTTCTCATTTGGTCATTTAACAGATATTTGTTGAATGTCTGCTTACTTTTCATTAGTTTTAATATTTTGTCTGATTCATATCATCTGCAAATAATAGGTTTTTTTCCCTTTTTCTTCCATTCCTTATACAGTTGAGTCTGTGGTTTTATGAATGTATGTCTGGCGATGAGACTTGGGAAGTCTTTTCTAGAAAGGTATTCATTCTGTGTAGGTTTTCAGAATTATTTAAAATTTAGTGTTCTGTTACTATTTAAATCTTTTATGCCTTCCTTTTGCATCTCTTATTTTGTGAATGTGGCACTTCTGTTTCATTCTTTCATCTTGCTTAACTTATGTATATTTTCCATCTTTTTTCTTCCTGATGACTTCTTTTTGAATTACTTGATCATTCTTCTAGCTCATTAATTTATTATTGGATCATATTCATTTTGCTTTTCAAGTCTACTATATTTTATTTCTCTATAATATTTTTATACCCAGTATTATCGGCTTTAAAAATATTTGCTTGTTCATGCTTCAGTTTTATAATATCCTCATTTATCTTTTTAAACATGTTTATTAAGTTCTTGATTAGTTTGGTTCACTGATTTTCTTTTCTTTCACCAAGATTGTTCAGTTTGTTGTCTTTCACAGCACTTGGGCTCCTTAGAATATTATTTTTGTTTGTGAGCTTATATTCTCTTAATAATATTCTTCTGGGAATATTACTGCCTTGTCTGATACTGTCCTACATAGAAAGGTAAGAGCCCAGGGACTAACTTTTCACCATTTTGGTCAATCTAGAGAATACATGTCTTAGGGTAGAGAATCTTTTTTATTAAAATCATAGCTTCCACCTCATTTCCCCAGTTGCTTATATATTCTGTTTCTTAGGGAACTTTTCTTTATCTCTGTTCTGAGCACACTTCTTATCCATAAACTGTCTCCTCAGTTGTAAACAGCCCATTTGAGAGAAAGCGCAGTGGACGGTAGTAGTTGGCCTCTCTGCCTGCATTTGGTATGTGTGTACTGCAACAGTACTGCATGTGTGTACACGCACAGTTTAAAAGCAAAAATGCTTACTTAGGACTGTGTTTAATGCCTCTGTTTGGAATTAAATCATGTTTTGTGCTCATAGTAAAAACAGGGTGTTCAATGATTAGAGAGAAAAGAGCATAGAAAGATGGCTGGCTTCCAACCCTTCCTCCTGTTCCCTTCTCCTGGCCTTTCCTTTATCTGTGATACTCCACTTTCTCCATCTCCAGGGACGGGTTCAGGGGCTAGGGTCGGGTGGGGACTTGTTACCTCACTAGTAATTCAGTTCTTACTTGCAAAAGCAATTGGCTTCTTCTTTATTGGCTTTGCATTCTCTGTGTATAGAGAGGCTGAAAGTGGACCAGAGATTTAAAAGAACAGAACTGTTGCACAGTTAATTCATATTAAGATCTTTGTCACATGTGATACACAGTTTAAAAATTAAAAAATAGAACTATTAAGGGACCACCTGAAAAAACAGACTGTGTCATTTACTCAGTGTAGACAGTGAAATTATTTAACAGGAGAATAGTCAAAGCTATTTGTTTTGCTAATCTAGACTTTGGGAGGAGAACTGGCTTTAAATACTTATTATTTCCTTCAGTATCCATAAATAATGCAACTACTTAGCTTTTAAACATATGAAGGTTTTTTAAAAGTATTGTCATTTGCTCTTTCTCCCAAGTTTTAAGACATGCCAGAGCTTCTCATAAGTAGGATATAATTAAAGCTTAGACACCCACAGCTCCACATTTAACTCTTAATTAAAATGGTGTATGTTAAGAATCTTAAATTTAAGATTAAAATAAAAAAAATTCATGGGAGTCCCATAAAACCTCAGAAAGAAATGTGAAGGATTCAAATTTCAGCATATTGGAGATATGTGAAGATAAAATTTGGTTAAAAGTCCAACCAAATCTCTACCTGTCTTTCTAGTGACAGTAGAACAATAAAGAGATTTTTATCCGTACCTCAGCTTAGTAGGTTTTCATTAAGTTGTGACTGCTTCAAAAGTCACCGGTTCAGAAGTCAACTTAAGTTTAATAGGGTGAAAATAGCAGCAATGGAGCAAGAGCAAGCTTGGGGATTGGGTGATGAATTTATATGCATGTGTTTGTCTGTGTACACACATACATATAGACATAAAATTTAATTTCGGGCTGGGTGCAGTGGCTCACGCCTGTAATCCCAGCACTTTGGGAGGCTGAGGCAGGAGGATTGCTTGAGCCTGGGAGTTCAAGACTAGCCTGGGCAACATAGTGAGACCTTGTTTCTACAAATAATAAAAAACATTAGCCAGTCATGGTGGCATGTGCCTGTGGTCCCAGCTACTCAAGAGGCTGAGGTGGGAGGATCACTAGAGCCCTGGCGGTTGAGGCTGCAGTGAGCCAAGATCATGCCACTGCACTCCAGCTTGGGCAACAGAGTGAGACTCTGCCTCCCCCCAAAAAGATTAATATTATTTTTATACATATACACACAAAATTAAATTATATATATATATGTATGTGTGTACATACACAAGTGCGTATATATAAATTTATCCCCCCATCCCAAGCTTGCTCTTGCTCCATTGCTGCTGTTTTCACCCTATTAAACTTAAGTTGACTTCTGAAGCAGTCACAAGTTAATGAAAACCTACTAAGTTGAGGTATGGATAAAAATCCCTTCATTGTTCTACTGTCACTAGACAGACAAGTGGAGATTTGGTTGGACGTTAAATCAAAATACTTAAAAAATTTTTATGTTTTTTAAATTTATTTTATTTTATTTAAACATTTATTGGGTTCAGCAAACTAACCTACCTTCATTAAGCACATTCTACACATAGTACCTTCCTAGGTTCATGCCTATACTGTGTTTAGAGCAGGTTTTATTTAGGTCTTATGGGTAAAACTGTTGGCTGCATTAGGGGAATTAGTAGGAAATAAAGCTATTAGAAATGAATAATGACTAATGTTTATTAAATTTCTACTGTGTGCCGCCAGCTATTCAAAATGCCTTGCCCATAAACTCATTTAATCTTTAAAATAACCCTATGAGATAGATAGAATTACAAGGATACAGAGACAAGGACACACATCTAGTAAGTAGCAGAGCTGGGATACATTTTGGCTCCAGGGGTGAACCTTTAATCACTTTCCTATATTGCGTCTCTTTGAATCAGATCATACAGGGCCTTGAATACTACTTTTACTGTTTGGGATCTTTGTTGTTAACACAGTATGAAATTGTTGAAGATTTTGGAGCAGGGAACCAACCTGTTCGAGTTGTGGTTTAGGAATATCAGCATGGCAAAATTGTGGAGTATTGGGGGCAACCAGTTGAATGTTAGAGTTATCTGGGATGTTTTGAAAAACTGATGTACAGCTACATTCCTATTCAATTGAATTAGAATCTCAGAGGGTGAGTTGCGTATATTAGTACCTTTTAAAGTCCCTTAGTTGATTTCAATGTGCATCTAAGGTTGAAAACCATAGAAATAGAGGTGGTTAGTTCAGGGAACAAGTTAGCATGCTGTTGTGAAATCTAGATAAAAGGCAATTAAAACTTCTATGGTAGTGTGTGGGTGGCAAGCCACCTAGGTGCCCAGGCAAGAGACCGAGGGCACAAGCTGTTCCAGTATAATAAAATATATAAAACAATAAGAGTTATACTAGATCTAGATCATAGACATAATGATATATGAATATCATTAATCATTAGTTTGTAGCAATTACTCTTTATTCCAATATTATAATAATCCTCGCTCTATAATCATAACCTAGGAAAAACCAGGCCACACAGAGAGATAGGAGCTGAGGGGACATAGTGAGAAGTGACCAGAAGACAAGAGTGTGAGCCTTCTGTTATGCCCGGACAGGGCCACCAGAGGGCTCCTTGGTCTAGTGGTAACGCCAGCATCTGGAAAGACGCCCGTTGCCAAGCAGACCATGGTCTAGCGGTAGCGTCAGTGTCAAGGAAAAACACCTGCTACTTAGCAGACCAGGAAAGGGAGTCTCCCTTTCCCCGGGGGAGTTTAGAGAAGACTCTACTCCTCCACCTCTTGTGGAGGGCCTGACATCAGTCAGGCCTGCCCACAGTTATCTGGAGGCCTAACCGTCTCCCTGTGATGCTGTGCTTCAGTGGTCATGCTCCTAGTCCACTTTCATGTTCCATCCTGTACACCTGGCTCTGCCTTTTAGATAATATTAGCAAAATTAGTGAAAATACTAAAAGTCTCTGATATACAGAAATAATGGTGTAAGCTGTCTCTCTCTCTCCCTGTCTCTCTCTGCCTCAGCTGCCAGGCAGGGAAGGGCCCCCTGTCCAGTGGACACGTGACCCACGTGACCTTACCTATCATTGGAGATGGCTCACACTCCTTACCCTGCCCCTTTGTCTTGTATCCAATAAATATCAGCACAGCCTGGCATTCGGGGCCACTACCAGTCTCCGCGTCTTGGTGGTAGTGGTCCCCCGGGCCCAGCTGTCTTTTCTCTTATCTCTTTGTCTAGTGTCTTTATTTCTACAATATCTTGTCTCCACACACAGGGAGAAAAACCCACCGACCCTGTGGGGCTGGTCCCTACAGTAGTGGTAGCAGAATAGAAAATATGTGGAAGGAATTAGAGATGCAAATCAGCAGGACCTGGTGATTGATTGGATGTGTGGTTTCAGGAAGATACTAAAGACCAATTTTACATATATTAAACATGTAGAATCTTAAAAATGATGTTAAGATGGTGGTATCCTCATCTTACAGATGCAGAAACTGGGATAAAGAGAAATTATATAGCTTTTCCCGAGCTATACGACAAGTAGACGATGGAGTCAGGACTTGAACTCAGGCCTTTGCATATCGAATTACATTTTCTTTCTATGAGTTTTAGGGCATTATGTGTTTAGCGTTAATTCATACTGGATGAGATAACATTGTTATAGATGACCATATACGATGCAGAGGGGATCAGAAGAGTCAGTTATTTGAGTGGAGTTGAAAAGTCAGTATCAAAAAAGTTTTTTAAGACAAGGTAATGCTTAACCTGAGTGTTGAAAGGAACTTAGGTATTTGCCTGGTGAAGGTGAGAATGGCATTGTAGGCAAAAGGAGCTGTGAGAGTAACAAGTAAATTGTTCAACAACATGGTATGTTTGAAGAAGTGAAAGTCATTTTCAGTTTGTCACATTTGTGAAGTGTAGGATTGATGGGTGTTTGGAGGAATGCATGACATAAGATTGACAAAATTGTGAAGAGCCTTGAAGATGGGGTTAAATGTTTTTCTCTCCAATTTTGGTAGGCTGTGGGAGTGCAGAATCATTGAAGTGACTCAACCATGTTGTTGAACAACTTTAGAAGGCTCTCTATGATATCGGTATGGAAGATAAATTGCTTAAGTGTAAGAAATTCAGGTGGCAGGTAGTAGCAGTAACTGTGGATATGAGAAATAAAGGGTAAATATGAGAGACTACGTAGAGCTTTAGGACCTTGTCCTGGACTTAATATTAGGAGTGGAGGAGAATATAGATGAGGAAAATAAAAGTGAAGGAGAAATTTAGAGCGACTTACAGGTTTCTGTGTTGTGTGATTTGGTGGGAGGTACCATTCCTTAAGGGAGAAAATATAGGAAGAAGAGCAGGGGCAGAGAAAGGGAAGATGAAGTCGGTTTTGGACATACTGAGTTTGAGATGTGTATCCAAGTGGAGGTGTACAGAGGCTTGGTGTCCCATACAGTTTCTCATTTAATCCTTTCTATAATACTGTAAGGTAGATGTTACTCTGTTTTTAAGAGATGAAGAAACCGAGGCTCTGAAAGGGTAATTTGCATAAAGTCAGTTAGCCAGACAGTGGGCAGCACTAGGATCTAAATGTAAATATTCTAATTCTCTTATTCTTATTGAAAGAGAGGGCTTTTTTTTGGGTTATAAACTCATCTATATTACACCTAGACTTTTAAGCATCTTTTTAAAGTTGTTATATTCATTAGTTTTTATATTCATTACCTAATATAATTTTTGGTATACATTGAAAAATATGTGATACGTGATCTGTTTTATTTAATCCAAAGCTTTATTTTCCTGTAACTATTAATAATTTTGACTTTTCTATCTAGGCTGAATATTTTGACATTTGAGCACCATGTAGTTGCAGAGACATGAGGAACAGTTGCTAACTGCATTCTTATGTGTGGTA
Source organism: Homo sapiens (assembly GCF_000001405.40). Taxonomy (NCBI): domain Eukaryota; kingdom Metazoa; phylum Chordata; class Mammalia; order Primates; family Hominidae; genus Homo; species Homo sapiens. The sequence goes on along the minus strand of NC_000012.12, from coordinate 76,470,768 downwards.
GATTGATGAGTCATGGGGGTTGACGTTTCCATGTTATTATTAGCAGTCTTGCCTGTGGCTTGATGCTGTGCAGTGTGATATACTAATCAGTGATTTGTTAGAAATGGAATAGAAATCTAGAAGGAATGAAGGTATTTTTTTGCAGCTCTTATGTCTTAATTTAGATCTCAGTCATGATTTAATCTAGAATGTAGGCTCACATATCTCTATATAAGCATGCAAAGAATTGGCCAAAATGAAATTTCAAGTAAGATGCTTTTATTTCAGATTGACAATTGAAATGCGTGAAACAGGTCGTAAGATGAAGCATCAGACACTGAAATGTTCATGTATATGCTGTCTCATATAACCAGTTCTCATATCACCTGGCATGATTATGATGTGATAATATGGTTTCGGTTGTGCTATTTCATAACCTTTTCAGGCAACTGTGGCTCGTTAGGCCAGATTTAGAGGAAAATGTTAATGAAGTCAAAGCTCAAGGTTATAGCTTTAATTCTTTTAGTGGGCAGTAAAGTTTTTCTGGTTTCCTAACCACAGAGTCCGCCAGCAGTCTCACCAGATGCATGCCATTAGTTACAAGTGAAAATCATATTGGTTAATTTTGAGCTTCTCTTGTATGTGAAGACCTTGATAAAGGAGGTTGGATTAATCATGGCAAGAGACCACCAGTGCCAGAAGAAATGTAATTCATGTTTCATTACCAAAAACTGATAGTGAATCTGTAACAATGTTATTTTATGCAGGACAGAACTATTTAAGGAAAAGAATGAGGGAATTCTTAGTGATGGAATTTGGGCTTATCAGATGGCCAAAGACTTTGCTAGGTATTAGGGTTATAATCACTAAGCCTTTTTTTTTTCTTTTCTTGTCTTTATTCATTCAGTATTTGCTGAGTGTCCACAATGGTGCCAGGCTCTGTTCTAGTTTTAAGGAATATAGCAGTGAACAAAATAGACAAAATTCCCACTTCAGTGGAGCTAACATTTCAGTAGAGAAAGAAAAAATATATAAATATGAACTGTGTTACGAGATGATTGCTGTGACGAAAAATAAAGCAGGGTAAGAAGGATAGAGAGTAACAAAATAGGGGATGATTGCTGTTTTGGGAATATTATGGAAGTATTGTGATGAAGTAGCTTTTGAGCAGAATCCTAAAGGAAGTTTTCTAGGCAAAAAATAAGAACTGAGTGTAAAGCTTGCATATCTGTTGGGCAGACGGTGGTTAGTCTGTAAGCGTTTGGGGTTGTGGGAAAGGGTGAGTGAAGGGTCTTTCCTCCTACTCAGGAAGGTGGAGGTACAGAGTCAGTGTTGCTAGGAACACATGGAGCTCTGTGGGCTCTCCCCTGCAATCCGACCTGATAATAGAAAGATGCAGTGACAAGACAGATGGAATATCTATTTGTTATGCCTGCAGTGGGAGGTCAGGAAATCCCTTATCAAGGATGTCATGCTTTATATAAGAAGAATGAATTCACCAGGAGAATCATTGGAATGGCCTTGAGGGTCTGCAGCTCAGGAGTGGTTAAGGTAGGAAACTGATTTGGGGAGTTAGTGAACTGAGCTCTTTAAAAAATCAAGTCAATGGAATCACATGGGGAAATCATGTTGAATGGAAATAAGAGATTCTAGGATGCAGAGAGAGGGAGGAGAAAGAGAAAATAGGTTGGAAACTAAGAGAGGACAGAGTTTTCAGAAAAGGAGTGGTCAGCAGTGGCAAATGCTAGAGGTGTGGTCAGTGTTAGGTGAGCTAGGGAAAGGTAAGATTGTGCTAGACCTGAGTTGTCTGATAGTATAGCCACTTCCCACATGTGACTAATTTAAAGTTAACCTAATTAAATTAAAAGTTCTTCCTTAGTTTTACTAGCCACATTTCAAGATTTCAATAGCTACATGTAGGTAGTAGCTACCCTGTTGGACATTACAGATACACACTATTTCTATCGTCGTAGAAAGTTCTATTTGACAGCACTGTACTAGACCATTATAATGGTGGAGAAAAGTTAAATAACAATTGAATTATTTATTTATTTGTATGGCAAGAGAGACAATACTGTGAGATAATTATGAATTATCAAAGAATTCACATTAGAAAGTCAGAGTTGGAGAACGATAACTTTAGCTTGAACATAGGTAGCAGAATTGGCAATTTGAGCTCTCAAGGTGAGGGGTTTGTTGAGTGTCTGCTATGGCGCAAAGCTCTGTTCTAGTTTTAAGAGATATTGCAGTGAACAAAATAGACAAAATTCCCACTCCAGTGGAGCTAACATTTGAGTGGAGAAAGACAGAAAATACATATAAAAATTTCAAGCTATTGAGTAGGAAAGCAGAAACAAAGTAGGGAGAAAATTACAGATCACTTTAAGCAATCAGTTTTACTAGACAGAATTTTAGCTAAGTGGAGTTTGAGTTAAGTGGAGATGTGAGACCATCTCATAGAAAATCATTATTTCTGTGGGATGGATAATTGGGCCAAATTGTAAAATATTTTAACTATCAGTGTTTGGGGTTTATTTTTAAAAGAATAGGGTGCCACCAGATGTTCTTTAGTGGAGGAGAAATGAGGCCAGAGTGACTGCCTAGAAAATTAAGTTGGTAAATTAATCACTTTTTTCTAGGTCCTTTCTTAGTCTTTGTCATTTGTTTTAATAATAAGTAATTCTGCCTTATGTCTATATACTGATTTTCAAAACAAATTTATATACAATACTCAGGTAAACTATTATTAAGCCTCATAACAATTCTAGAAATTTGGAAGGTTTAATAATTAGTGCATTTACAAAGGAGAAAAAGAAACCTCACAGAAAGAAGTTAAGTGGCATGCTAATGATGGGATAGCCTGAAGAATGGGTAATGTTGGGTAGACTGGAGATCACTTATCTTAGTGTTGAATAAACCGTAATACATACTGTCTTCTGTGTATGGTGATCTTGGCAGTAGGGACTATGTTTTTATCATGTTTTTAAATTCTGGTATGTAGCATAGTAAATGAATGAGTGGGCTGAGACTGCATGCAGGGACATCTACCAAAAGGGAGATGCAGAAGTTGACACATGAGGTGATGTGGGTCTGACATAGGGGGCACTAATGGGAAGTGAAAAAAAAAAGACTGAATGTGAAATAGGCACCATAGAGGCAAAAAAATCAGAATTTAATAATTTAATCAGATGTTGGGGGAAATGTCTCAGAGGAATCAAGGGTTTATGCCTGAGTGTTTGAAAGAAAGATGGGCAAATCAGTGTGGAAGCTGGTTTCTGAGAGAAAGCTGATTACTATCTCTGATACAAAGATGTAAAGCCCTTCCTTTGTTAACATAATTTTAGAACTAGAAATTAATATGCAATAATGTCCAAACATATAGGTAGAAATGTTTTGAAGTTTTGGAGATATGCTAGGTATGAAGAAGAAACTAGGAAGTTATCTGAATATAGGTGATAAATGAGCCTTGAGCATCAATGGAACCTGCAGGAAAAGAGCAGGTAGAGGAAGAACAACAAATAGTTGAAGCTGAGCACTGGTAATGGCCATTCACTTGCTGAATGGGAGGACAATGTGTGGAGGCAGGAAAATAGAAGGGAAGCCAGAGCAGAGGAGTATTCTTAGAAACCAAAAGAGGCTTACATGAGAAGACTGATACATACATAAAGAAGACTGATACATACATTTAAAGAAGACTTTAAATACATAAAGGAAGGATATAAAGTGTGAAAAACTACCAGGCCAATGCCAGAGAGGACTCCACAGGTTGGCAAATTAACTGTAATTTCCAGATGACTCAGGATTAAAAAAAGATTTTTTTTTTTTTTGAGACAGAGTTTCGTTCTTGTCCAGGCTGGAGTGCAATGGTGCAATCTTGGCTCACTGCAGCCTCCGCCCCCGCCCCCGGGTTCAAGCGATTCTCCTGCCTCAGCCTCCCAAGTAGCTGGGATTACAGGCACCTGCCAGCATGCCTGGCTAATTTTTTGTATTTTTAGTAGATACGACGTTTCACCAGGTTGGCCAGGCTGTTCTCGAACTCCTGACCTCAAATGATCCACCCGCTTCGGCCTCCTAAAGTGCTGGGATTACAGGCATGAGCCACCGCGCCCAGCCTGGAAAAAGATTTTTAAAAAAGGGTTCAATTTTCAGTGTAGAAGTAATATTGCACCTTTTGAAAAATAACTATTACTTAAAAGATTATTGCACCGCTTAATTTATTTGATAAATTCTGGGTGCTCTCTAGATTCAGATTTAAGTATATGAGATTAAATCACTCCCAAGAAAATTTGTTTTCTTTTTAGATATTGCCATATTCAGAAGTTGCTGAAGTTCAAGAGACAGTGAGTAATATGTGGTGCTGTGTGGGACATGTTAACATTTTTGCATCTTTTTAGGATTTCAAGTTGGATTCTTAAAATGTACTTCCCACTATACTTAATCATAGATAATTATGTCATAATAAGAAATAAGCTAGTGTAGATTGAAAAATATCAGTTAAAAACTTTATATTTTTTTCAAAATGTAAATAAGTTCTTTTTTGACTATAAAAATAATGCATACTAGTATGCCATATTTAAAAAATACAGAAAAATATAAGTAAAATCCTACCTCCTAAAGTTAACTACTGTTGATATTTTGGTGGCATCTTTCGTAAGTTTGTATGTGTATAAGAAAATTTATAAAAGTAGGGTCATATCATACAAGCTTCTTTATAACCTACTTTTAAAAGCCAATATATAATGGATTTTTTTAGTAGGTGGAAAAATGAACTTTTTTTTTTTCTTTTTTGAGACAGAGTCTTGCTCTTTTGCCCAGTAGTGCAGTGGTGTGATCTCGGCTTACTGCAACCTTCACCTCCCGGGTTCAAGAAATTCTCCTGCCTCAGCCTCCAGAGTATCTGGGATTACAGGCGTGTACCACCACACCCAGCTAATTTTTATATTTTTGGTAGAGACGGGGTTTCACCATGTTGGCCAGGCTGGTCCCAAACTCTTGACCTCAAGTGATCCTCCCACCTTGGCCTCCCAAAGTGCTGGGATTACAGGTGTGAGCCACTGCACCTGGCTGGAAAAAGAAACTTTAATGACTACATGCTTGCTATTTCATTGTGTGAAGGTATTTTATTACCCTGTTTGAAACAGGTTACTTCTTTAGATTACTGTAAATGGTGTTGTGGTAAATATCCGTGGACACATCTTTTTATTTTTATTTTATTTTATTTTATTTTTTTGAGACGGAGTCTTGCTCTGTCGCCCAGGCTGGAGTGCAGTGGCGTGATCTTGGCTCACTGTAAGCTCCGCCTCCCGGGTTCATGCCATTCTCCTGCCTAAGCCTCCTGAGTAGCTAGGACTATAGGCGCCCGCCACCACGCCCGGCTAATTTTTTGTATTTTTAGTAGAGACGGAGTTTCACCTTGTTAGCCAGGAAAGTCTCAATCTCCTGACCTTGTGAACTGCCCGCCTCAGCCTCCCAAAGTGCTGGGATTACAGGCGTGAGCCACTGCACCTGGCCAGACACAGCTTTTTGAACATTTTGTATGATCCCCTTATTAATATTCCTAGGAGGGGAATTGCTGGATCAAATGTGCGATTAGGTTATTTTTAAATATCTGCTTGGCAGGCCAGATAATATTCTTTATCCAACAGTGATAAGCTGTAGTTCCGAGACAAATACTCCTTTAAAATCTCTCCCATGAAACTCAAGGGTAAAATGTGCACAAGTATATTTTGCAGATGATTACAGGAATATTAAAAATTCAGCTAAGTGTAGAGTGATGACTCCTGTTCGAAGAACAGACAGTTCTCAGCTGCACTATATAGCTCTCTCTGAAGTTTGTTATTCTAAGGGCCTATGATAACGCTAAATAGAGCACTCTTCAGATGTTTTGTATACTCTTTCTGAATTGTAGTTTCTTGGAGCCAGCTGCAGTAGGATTGCTTCTGTAGCAACTTGATCAACTTTATTGGGTGAAAAGGTGCCAACAGCTACATCAGTGCTTGATGAGCTCTTTGTCATGAGTCAGATGACTTAAATCAAGCCGTGATGTATATTAAGAGGGAAGTGCTGTGCCAAAGGGATGGAATCAAAACTATAGATTGCGTGGGATTACTTCATTATTATTAGGGTGGCCTTCCAGTGTGGTTTATTTGAGACTGAGAAGTTTCCCAGGATGAAGATGTTTATATACCCTCAAGATTGCTTGTTTAATGCTAATTATAGATGAGGTGGCAAATATTTAGACATACAATAAAATAAAATCACTTTTTTTTGCATTGTGCACTATTTCTGAGATTTATAGACTAAAATTAGTAAATATTTGGGTAATGGCTATAAATATTTCATGCTTTTAAATACTTTGATAGTATGTCTGAAACTTTTATTACTGATATATCTTATCGATGTACTTATAACAAAATTAGATAACTGTGTGGACATTGTCTGTGGGACAATGGTAAACAATAACATACTCAAATGGAGTCAATTAGAGAAACTGTTGCTTTTTAGAGACAGGGTCTCACTATGTTGCTCAGGCTGGAGTGCAGTGGCTGTTCACAGGTGCGATCATGGATCGTGGTACACTGCAGCCTTGAACTCCTGGGCTCAAGCAGTCCTCCTGCCTCAGCCTCCCATGTAGCTGGGGCTACAAGGCGCCCATGATGACCTTTTTCTGAATAAACTGAGAAGCTGTTCTTGGATTCTCTGAGATTCTAGCTCTATTTAGGTTCTTTAACAAAAACCAAGAAGAACGCCTAGCATTTTACTTTTTAAATATTGTACAAGTTAATTGTGTAGAGTGGTTCCACATCAATAATTTCACATTGTTTTTATTCATGTGTTATACAACATGGTACTATACAAATTTGACCCAGGTCCTAGAAGTGGTAAGAATAAGAAATTAGTAGTGTGCAGTTTAGCCATGTGCAGAAGACTTCAGTGGTATACGTTACTTTGTAAATTTGATATGTAATCCTCAATTACTTATATCCTGTTTCCCATTGGCATCACTTACAAGCAACTCTGGAAGGATGATTTCACTTGACTCCCAGTTCAGTGCTTTTGTATCCATATCCTTTTGAGGAAGTTTTCTGAAGCCATGCTTATTTTTCATTGTGTTTCAGCTTTGCATTTGCAGTGCTTGAGTGTGATTCTTAGTTGTGTTGTCCATTATAATATATGTTTTTCTAGGGCCTGTTCTTTTATCCCATGGCATTTTTCAGTCTCTTATGATTAAGCCATTCAGGTCATATAACATAACTCTCATACATAATTTATATTTTTCTTACCAGCCTGAACCTTTCCCTATACAGATTTATATATCCAGCTGCTTACTTGACATTTCCACTTGGATGAATGTCTGACATGCATTTCAAACTTAATTTGACCCAAACTGAGTTCCTTATATTTCTTCCTGTAAACTAGCTGCTCTCACTATCTTTTCTGTCTCAGATAATGAAAGTCCCATCCTTCCAGGTGCTCAAACCCCAACACTTGACATCATTTTGTTCCTGCCTTTTTTATCTCACATTTGGTCTATTTGGAAATCTTGTTTGCTCTATTTTCAAAATATATTTGGAACTTAGCTACTTCTCATCACCTTCACTGCTAACACTTTGGTCCACGATTCCCCCTCTCCTAGATTATAGTGGTAACCTCCTAAGTGATTATACCCTTGTCTCTCTAGTCTGTTATCAACATAGCAATCAGAGTGATTCTGTTAAAACATAATCAGACTGTGTCAATTCTCTTCTCAAAACCATCCAGTGGTTCCCCATCTTATTCAAAATAAAACCAAAGTTTTGACTAGACCCTACAAAGTCCTATACAACCTGACATCTGTTTACCCCTCTGACCTCATCTCCTACTACTTTCCTATTTTTGCATTGCATTCCAGCCTCATTGGCCTTCGTGCTCTTCCATAAACATTCCAGACTTGCTTGCATCATAATCCTGTACACTTGCTCTTCCCTCTGTCTTTCATACTTTCACCCTGTATGTTGTTATGCCAGGTTCCTTCATCTTATTCAGTCAACTCTGTATTGAAGCCTTCTTAGGCCAACCTATCTAAAATTTTAACTCCCTTTCCCTAATATTTTTTGTGTTCCCATTTGTTACTTATTTCCCCCCCTAGTTTTTATGCTATATATTATACCATGAATTTTTACTTAACATTTTTTATGTTAATGTTCATCTGTCTTACTAGGACATGAGTACCAAGGGCAGGATTTTTGTCTGTTTTGCTTACTGCTATGTCCCTTGGTGTCTAAGTGATATATGTCAGCAGTAGTTACTAAGTAAATATTTGTTAAATGGATGAATGGATGATTGGAAAAGATGATGTTTGTTTTGATTATTGTTCAGTGCCTCAACTTGAAAAAAATAGGATTGATCCAATAGAATCAGATTTGTATGACACAGACATGCTTGAGGATAATGTCGAGACTAACCATGCTTGGACATTTTTGGAGCAAATATTTAGTAGTTGTATATGCTAAGGATTATTTTCTGGGAGTAAAAAAGTAAGGAGTACAGCTGTATAGCAGTTGACATAGTGCTGTTAATTGACAAAATATGAGAATATAACAGAACTGTACAATGAAAGTTGAGCTTATTAATCTTTAAATAGAAGATGAACTGTAAAACCTTCAAACATGACTGGCCTTGTGAAATTAAATACTCGCAGCCATGTATACACACAATTAGAACCACTGCTTTCCTTTAGGAAGTTACTGATAAATCTAGGGAAACGATGCAATCATTTATATCAATTCAGGAAGATCTTAGAAGATGTCTATGAAGCATTTGTAAAGTTTGCCACAGTTGTTTCTGTCAGCTTAACTTTTTTCCAGTTTTCCAGTGTTATGTTATTTATTGGTACACAACAAACTATCTAAAAATTAAGTGGCATAAAACAACAAGCATTTATTATCTCAGATTTCCGTGGATCAAAATCCAAGAGTAGCTTAGCTAGAAGTCTCTCACTCAGTCTCTCATGTGGTTGCAGTCAGGATAGTGGGGATTGGGCATTGCTGCAGTCTCAACTGAAAGACTTACTATGCCGGGCACGGTGGCTCATGCCTGTAATCCCAGCACTTTGGGAGGCTGAGGTGGACGGATCAGAAGGTCAGGAGTTCGAGACTGGCCTGGCTAACATGGTGAAACCCCGTCTCTACTAAAAATACAAAAATTAGCTGGGTGCCTGTAGACCCATCTACTCAGGAGGCTGAGGCAGAAGAATCGCTTGAACCCGGGAGGTGGAGATTGCAGTGAGCCGAGATCACACCACTGCACTCCAGCCTGGGCAACAGAGCGAGACTCTACCTCAAAAAACAAAAAACGAAAGACTGGGGATGGAGGGTGGAGTGGGAGATCTGCTTCCAAGTTCACTTAGTGGTGTTTGCCGACCTCACTAACACCGTAGTTCTTTCACCTAGTGGGCCTCTCTACAAGGCTGACATATGAAGTGACAGTTGGCTTTCCCCAGGGTAATCTATAAGAGATTGAGAAACTGCATGCAAGATGGGAGTCACAGTCTCTTTATAATCTAATCCCAGAAGAGACATCCCATCACTTTGGCTGTATTCTGTTCATTAGAAGTGATTTAGGGCCTGGTGTGGTGGCTTACATCAGTAATTCCAGCATTTTGGGAGGCAGAGGCTGGAGGATTGCTTCAGCCCAGGAGAATATAACTTTGCCAACTTTAGTTTGTTTGTAAAACCAGAAGAATGAGATTAAATGGGAAACTGCACAAACATGAATAGAGCAAATGCCTTCAAGGCATTAGAAGATCATTTCAAGTATTGTAAAAAGCCATCACTTAGGGAAGGAATAGGTCCAAGATTTTATTCAAGGAGGTGACAAAAGCCCAAAGCAAACAACTGCTAACTTGTTTTGTCACAGCCAATTAAGATCCTCAGGTCTCTTTAAGACCAACAAATAATGTAATTATTGGGAACTTTTTGTTTCTGTTACTGCATTTGTTTTGGTATGTTACTGCATTTGGTATTTAAAATGAAGGAGAGCTGAGAACTCTGTTTCTACCAGAACCAAAGCACTTGTCCATGGGCAACATTTAGAGTAATTTATGTTAAAATAGTTACTAAACAAAAGGTCAGCAGACTTTTTCCTGTTTCTTTTAGTTGATTGCAAGTTCTTCATTCAAGGGTTGGGTCTTCTGACTTCCCAAAGACCATTAGCTCCAAATACTATGCTTGATTTTTAGTGGGCCCTAAGAAAAGTTTGTCTGACTTAGTAAAACTTCTTTCTAATTAATGTTTCTCTTTTTTTTTTTTTTTTTGCCAATTGAGAAAGAATTTGTTCTACTTTGTTGATGCCTCTGTAGATGCTCTTCACACAATGCTTGGCATGTAACAAGCACTCAATAAATGTTCCTTACTCTTTTGTAGAAGAAACATACTAAATCTCTTTGTAGTGTTACGTGCTTTCATGGCATGCAGAACTAATCTTTAATAGTGCATGGGTGTTATATAGTTTTAAACCACCTTAAATTTAAGGAATGCATAACTTGGCTGTCTCTTAAATTTCTATGTAATTTTTACCTTTACTAACATATCTTGAATTGTAATTGAAAGTAATTTTTGACTTAATTTTCAAAACAAAATACTTAGGTGATCCATTTTTCTCTTACCACCTTCATTTTCTAAAGATAAAACAAATATTTGATACTGCTTAATCCAATATCTTTTTTTGTGTGTGGAAAAGGAAGTTTCTTGTAAATTATTACGGTTATTACTATTGATGTGCATGTGCTTTCTACTTATAAACTAATGCTATTTTCCTTGTCCTTTTGTTTCACTGCTGTTTCCGTCCTGATGCATTTTGCTTCTTCCTGATTTGGACTGTATTTGTTTGCTGCTCAATTACCCTGCCTTAAAAGCTTCTTGGTGATAGCAAAGATGTCCTTGGGCCATCAAGTAAGTAGCTGAAGCTTGAACGGCATGTTTGGGGACATGATAATATTTTGATGTGTGATTATTATGAAAGGCAAATGGTGTTTCAATTTTGAATTATTAAGTGTTCTACTTTTCTTTCCAGGAATTGAAATATAAAGTAAAGAATATAAATGGTCATTTAGTACCCAGTGCCCCATCTGTTCTCATTGTCCATCTGAGATTCATAGGCAGTGTTTGTATATTTACATCTTACCTAAGATGCATTATTTACTTAATTATCTAACTCATAATTTGGGACCTCTTCTTCATAGTATTTCTTTCTACAGTTATCACATGGCATAGATCTAGCACAAGGATTTCACTGCCATATGAAAGGGAGAAACACTTTTATTTTGTCAGAATTTTTACATAATAATTTGATTACGAAAATTGTTTTATACTTTGGGTATTTTATAAGTGAAACATGTTTTACCTTAGGAATTTAGAAGATGTATCCTTGAAAATTATATCCAATTCACCTCAACACATTTTACTGAGAGTTTTTTGGGGCAGGGAGTGGCAGCCACTGCCAACTTTTGGAGGTACATAATGAATAAAACATGATTCCTGCCCCTAAAAATTTTTATAGTCTAGCTAGGGAGTAAGAGGGGCAATTTTTATATTAAAAATCATAGAATTGCTGAGGTGAAAGGAACTTCAGAAATTATCTAATGAAGCATTAATTTTATAGAGGAGAGCCTGAAGTTAAGATAGCACAAATATCCGAGAAGTTAGAATTGGTTACTAGTCCAGTGTGTCTTCCTTCTACTGTTATTCAAAGATAGAAGGAAACTGTTTGCTGCATTCAAGTGTAACTAAACAGTTAAAATTTTACTGCATCATAGATGAAGATTTTTAACTTCATTGATGAATAATATAGAAAATTATATTGATTTAGGAAGTTTTATTATTGATTCCTAAACAATTATCTGATTATTGCAAGTCAGTTTACTGTTCTGGGACTCATATTTCATTGACCTAGGAAAGGAACTGAATGAGAAAATGGTAAAGGTTTCTTCTAACTATAAACTTTTTTAGTCTAGATCAGTTGCTGTTTATCTCTAACTGGTTATAGTATGTATGTAATTTTTTTTCTAAAAAGAGAGGATTTAAAGTAATATGCTAAATCCTTTTTTTTTTTAATTCTTATTTTTTAGAGACAGGGGACTCACTCTGTCACCCAGGCTGGAGTACAGTAGCACGACCATAACTCATGCAACCTTGAACTTCTGGGCTCAAGGGATCTTCCTGCCACCTGAGTAGCTAGGACTCCAGGCTTGTGCCACCACACCCAATTAATTTTTGAAATTTTTTGTAAAGATGTGGTCTCACTATGTTGCCCAGGCTGGTCTTGAACTCCTGGTCTCAAGTGATCCTCCTGCCTTGGCCTCCCAGAGTGTTGGGATTACAGGTGTGAGCCACCGTGCCTAGCCCTTTTTTCATTCTTAAATGCAATAACTCAAAATATTTTATAAATATTATTTATTATACAATCATCATTAGGAGGTAGAAATCTTAAAAATAGAAAAAAGAACACAAATCTCAAAATGTTGTTTTTGATTTTCTTGAGACAGGGTTTTACTCTGACACCCAGGCTGGAGTGCAGTGGCACAATCACAGCTTACTGCAGCCACAACTTCTCCTAGACTCAAGCGATCTTCCCACCTCAGCCTCCTGAGTAGCTGGGACTACAAGCGTGTGCCCAGCTAAATTTTTTTTATTTTTATTTTTTGTAGACACAGGGTTTTCCTACATTGCCGAGGCTGGTCTTAAACTCCTGGACTCAAGCGATCCGATCCTCCTGCCTTGGCTTCCCAAAATGCTGACATTGCAGGTGTGAGCCACTGCACCAAGCTTCAAAATATTTTTATGTTTTGTTGTTCAGCCTTGTGATACTTACTTGGCATTTAATTTCAATGGATTCTTCAGTTTCTTTAATTACCTCATATATTTAGACATGGACTCAGGTGAACTGAATGGCACTGCTGAGCTTTATAAATAGAATAGCATTTTAAATATTAACTGAAATATTTTATCTTAGGAACTGGGTTTTTACAAATGGAGATCTTTTTTACTTCGAATAGAAGAAATTTACTTAAGGTTATATATTTCAAGCATATATATAAATAAAAATATACAACATAATATTAGAGATGACTTTATCATGTACTCTGCCAAGTATTAAAAGGCTGGGTCTGTATAATCATTTGTTAGAGACCATATATCTTTTAAAGTGAAGTACAGTTGACCCTTGAACAAGACAACTTTTAACTACACGAGTCCACTTCTATGTGTATTTTTAAAAATAAATATATTGGAAAATTTTTCTGAGGTTTGTGACAATTTAAAACTCACAGATGAACTGTACCTTAGAAACATAGAAAAAATAAAGGAAAGGTTAGGTATATCATGAATGCATAAAATATATGTAGGTACTAGTTTATTTTCTTACTACTTTAAAATATACACAAATCTATTACATAAGTAAAAATTTATCAAAACTTTTCACACACACCGTACACGTTGCCATTCCCAGTTGAGAAAAATGTAAACAAACATAAAGATACAATATTAAATCGTAACTACATAACATTAACTAGTACATACCGTACTACTGTAATAATTTTCTAACCACTTCCTGTTATTACTATGAGCTCAGGTGTTGCGAATATCTGCTTAAAATGCTGTGTGATGCTAATCATCTCTGTATGAAGTTATTTGCTCCAGTAAATTGCATATTGCTTTAAAAAGTCATTTCTCATCATTCTTGCCTATTTTCATCATGTTTCGTGCAATATTGTAAACCTTGAATAACGCTATGGGACCCATGTGAAGTACCACTGTTGATGCTTCGGTTGCTCCCAAGAAGCAGACAAAGGCCATGACATTACAAGAAAAAGTTTAATTGCTTAATATTTAGCTCTAGATTGAGGTCTGCAGCTGTGGTTGCTGCTATTTCAAACTGATGATTCATCTTGTAAACAGATGGCATAAACTTATGGTATCAATAAATATGGTATAGTACTGTAATTGTATTTTCTCTTATGATTTTCTTAATAACATTTTCTTTAGCTTATGTATATATTGTATTACATAATACAATATGTAATACATACAACATATACAATATGTGTTGACTCTTCGTATTATGTATAAGGCTTCCAGTCAACAGCAAACAGTAGGCTATTAGTACTTAAGTTTTTGGAGGGTCAAAAGTTAAATGCACTTTTTTTTTTTGACACGGAGTCTTGCTCTGTCACCTAGTGCAAGGACACAACCTGGGCTGCCTCAGCCTCCTGAGTAGCTGGGATTACAGGCGTGCACCACCATGCCCAGCCAATTTTGTATTTTTAGTAGAGATGGGGTTTCACCGTGTTGGCCAGGCTAGTCTCAAACTCCTGACCTCAAATAATCTGCCTGCCTCCCAAAGTGCTGGGATTACAGGTGTGAGCTACCACTCCCAGTCCCTAAATACACATTTTTGACTGCTTAAACGTCAGCTGTAATTTCTTGGTACTTGATTAGTATCATGTACTATAGAATGAAAAAAGTACGTGATCTATACTGACATTTAAATTATTGGAGTATTTAAGAAATGTATACCTTAGAAGAAAAGGAGATATAGGATTTACATACAGATTATTATTTATGACTTTAAAAAATTACTTCATCTTATTTTAGCTTCCACTTAGATTAAAGGCAAACTTTGAAACTTGTAAAATTCTTCAAATTTTATATTGATGAGTTGAATTCAGAAGGTAAAAATGTTTTTGATTCATGTTCTCCTTAGATGCAGCAGATATGTTAATTATATTAACTATTTCAGTGTGATTTCTACTAAAGATGAGTAATGTGAGTAGCAAAGCAGGTTGCTTTACTTCCACTTGAAGTAGAAACAGCAGAGGGCACTGTAATGTTATCTTTGGTAGGTGAGACGGTGAAACTGCACTGGAGTCACACAGTGATTCATTTGCCAAATATCTATTCAGTCATTTAGAGAGTATTTAGTGAGTATCAGTTATATGCCAAGGGATACAGAAAAAAAGTCACTGTCCCTCTTAAACTTATGTTTGAATAGTCTACTATTATGTAACTGATGTAGGAAATCATAATGATTTTTATATTCCCTAGCCTCTTTTGTCTGTATAGTTGTTAATGCTTGTGAATGGGGTGAGGGAAAATAAATAGAAACATGGGCTTTCTGGTTTTTTTGGTAAAGAGGTGCACTCTGTATACTGCTGTTTCTGCATATTCTTGTTACTTCACGGCTATCAAAATCATGTAGTAATACTTCCATCGAAAATGGATTAGAAAGGGTGAATAGAGCTAACTTTACAGTTCAGGCTGTTTTAAAGTTATTCAAGACATGGACACCTATGTTTTACTGACAGAATGCTAAAACCTACATTAATTCTGCTAGTGGTTCTTATAAAGTATTTTAAATTAGCATTAAATGTTCTGTCTGATACATACAAAAGAATATGTGTCATATGTAAATGAGAGCATAATTATACAATGAGCCCTTATTGAGCTATCACTCAGCTTAAGAACTAGAATCTTCCATGTACCTTAGGTCTTTCTGCTGCTTTTTTTTTTTTTAGATAGAGTCTCGCTCTGTCGCCCAGACTGGAGTGCAGTGGTGCAATCTCGGCTCACTGCAAGCTCCGCCTCCCGGGTTCACGCCATTCTCTTGCCTCAGCCTCCGAAGTAGCTGGGACTACAGGTGCCCACCAACACGCCCAGCTAATTTTTTTTTTTTTTGTATTTTTTAGTGGAGACGAGGTTTCACCGTGTTAGCCAGGATGGTCTCAATCTCCTGACCTCGTGATCCACCAGCCTCGGCCTCCCAGAGTGCTGGGATTACAGGCTTGAGCCACCGCGCCCGGCCTCTGCTGCTTTTTTATCCCTGAGCCTGCCCCAAGAGGGCATGACTAGGTTGTATTTTTTTCTTTTTATTATTCTTTGCTTTTTAAAAAGTCTTTTTTTTATTGTTTTTTACTCATGTATGTATCACTAGATTTTGCTTGGTTTTCAATTTTAAAAGAATGGTGTCATGGTTTATATAATTTTCTAGGACTTGCTGTTTGTAGTTACCTTTTTTTTTTTTTTTTAATTTTTTAAAGAGACAGGGTCTTGCTCTGTTGCCCACACTAGGGTGCATTGGTGTTATCACAGCTTACTGCAGCTTTGAACACCTGGGCTCAAGTGATGCTCCCACCTCAGCCTCCCTAGTAGCTGGGACTACAGATGCCTGCTATGCTAGGATTACAGTGTGAGCTACCACGCCCAGCTAACTTTTTTTAATTTTTATTTCTTTTAGAGATAGGTCTTGCTATGTTGTCTAGGCTGGTCTTGAACTCCTGGCCTCAAGCAATCCTCCCACCTCAGCCTCCTGAGTAGCTGGGATTATAGATGCAAGCCGTTGTGCCTGGCTGTAATTAACATTTTACTTTTAATATTCAATCATGTCGTTTGTTATAGAACTAGATCATTCCTTTTTAGTGCTATATACTATTTCATTATATGGATATGCCAGAATTTATTAAAATTCATTTTTCAATTGATGAATATGTTGTTTGGTTTTTGCTATTATGAACAGTGTTGCTATGAACATTCTTATTCTTGTCTCTTGGTATATACCTGTAAAAGTTTTTCTAGATCCAAGAGTGGAATTGTTGGACCCACAGGGTATTCAGTTTTATATAAGAAGCTCACATTGTTTTCCAAAGTGCTTGTATCAACTTATACTCCATTAACAGTGCTTAAGACATCTCGATGATCCCATCCTCATCAGTATTTGGTATTATCAGACATTAATTTTTGTTAATTTTACTGAGTATAAAATATTTATTATTTTGATTTGTATTTGCCTCATTACTAAAAAAGGATGAACATCTTTTCATACATTTATTGCCCATTTGCATTTTTCTTTTGTGAATCACTGTTCAAGTCTTTGCCCTATTTTGCTATTATGATGTTCTTTTTCTAATGATTTATTGAAGTTTTTTTTTAAGAACATTCTAGGTACCAACCTTTTGTTAATTATGGGTGTTGCAAATATCTTATTTTGTGCCTTTTCAGTTTATGATACCTTTAAATAAATTTATACTTTTAATATTGAACTTACTGATTTTTTAATTTTTGGGTTAGTGCTTTTTTGTGTCTTTTTAAAGGAATCTCTGTCCCAAGTTTATGAAGATATTCTCTTATTCTAAAGATTTTCCAGTTTTGCTTTTTTACATTATGTCTGTAGTCTTCATAGAACTATTCTTTGTGTGTGGTAAGAAGTAGAGTTCTCTCTACTTTTCCAATATTGATGACCAGTTGATAACCTCATATTGTTAACTGAGTAATTTATTCTCCCTATTTCTGTTGTATATCTGAGCTCCATGTATGTATGTGTCTGTTTCTGAAAGCTATCTGCTATGTTCTTTAGGTCAATTTATCTCTCTGCATCAGTACCATACATTTAAAATTATTTTTAGGAATCAAATGAATCTTGGATTTAGTAACTGAAAGAGACACCATATACTTTATGATGTTTTATAAAAATATAAAGTTGGTTTATTGACTCATTCAACATAAATTTATTGAACATCTTTAGTATGGTAGGATGCGACACCTTCAATAGGGCAGGAAGTTTACCAGGACCTGAGAATTTATGGGAAAATAAGGCAGACAAAACTTCCTTCTCTCATGGAATTTAATGTCTAATGGAGGAAGAAAAGCAATAAACTATATTTTTCAGATAATGATAGGAGCTACAATGAAAATCATGTAAGGTAAAGTGATAATAGTATAACTGTGAAGTGGTGGGTACTAACCCTAAAAAAAAAAAAATGCCAAATTGTGCCATGTTGAAATTAAGAACGTATCAAAAGTACCATGAAGAAACCAAAGGGCTTTTCTGAAGAGATGACCTTTGAGCCCAGACAACAAAGGAGAGGAGCTAATAATGTGATGATCTGGGGTAGGAATATTCCAGGTAGAAAGAGCAAGAGATAAAAGCCCTGTGACTGGGCAAAAGATGGCCTTTCTTGAGGAAATACCAAGAAGACTATTACGGCAGGAGCCAAGTGAGTGACAGGAGAGTAGTAGAGAATGAGGTTGGAACAAGTAGCAGGCCAGACTGTGTTGAATTTCCAGGTTATGGATTATATTGTAAATGTAATGGGAAGCCAGTGAGGATATTTCTGCATACTGGAAATCTAATTTATGATTTTAAAAGATTGCTCAGTAAGAGAAAGAGAAAAATAAAAACACATCTAAGGTTTTGGCCTGAGAAAGTAGTGGGAGGGGAGTAGTGATGGCATGAACTGAGTTTGGGGAGAGGCAGGTTTGAAGGATGAGCAGAATCAAAAATTACATTCTAGATAAATTTGAGATGCCTGTAAATAATTAAGAGGTGATTATAAGGCAGGCAGTTGGGTATGTAAGTTTGAGTTTAGGGGGAGATAGGAAGTTGGGAGTCATCAGTCTATACATTTTTTTAATTGACTTGGAAAAATAATTTTTTATATTTTGGATGAAAAGTGCAAGTGTTTTTGTATTTTTACTTTGGAATCTAAGGAGCTGAAATAAAATTTTGAAAACTATCGCAACAGAAAACATTTTAAACCAATTAGATTTAAAGGACATGATGATAAAAAGGTGAATGTGAAATTCTGAATGTCTGTATTGAAAAATAAAACCTATGGTGGAGACTAAACCGTCTTTTTTTTTTGAGGTGGAGTTTCGCTCTTGTTGCCCAGGCTGGAGTGCAATGGCATGATCTCTGCTCACTGCAACCTCTGCCCCCCAGGTTCAAGCGATTCTCCTGCCTCAGCCTCCCTAGTAGTTGGGATTACAGGCGCGCCAACACGTCTGCCTAATTTTTGTATTTTTAGTAGAGACGGGGTTTCGCCACGTTGGCCAGGATGGTCTCGAACTCCTGGCCTCAGGTGATCCACCTACCTCGACTTCCCAAAGTGCTAGTAAATCGTCCTTTCTTAAGATGAAACTCGAGTTTTTATAGGCTGAAAGCACAGGAATATAAAATGAAAGAATGTGGAGATCCTCAGGTACTTTGGACTTGGCAGTTTGCCCTGTTTCTTCATTGAGTGTTTTCACTTTGTTTCTGCTCTCTGAAACTGGGCATGGCTCGCTATTACTGAGCGATAGATAGTAGGATGGCCAAATGGGTGAGAAGCAACTACAAAGCACTACTTAAATTGTTTATTGGGGCAGCAAGCTTTAAGAGACAGACTTTGGAACCAAATGGTTCTGAGTTAGAATCTTGCCTCTATTACTGTTTAGCCTCAGGCAAGGCAATCTCTGACCCTCAAGTTTCCTCCTCTCTAAAACAGTTATCATACCGACTTTTCGTGAAAATTAGAAATTAGAGTAGAAATTCTAGCGAATGTCAAATATTATTTTATACTGCTAGTAATTTGTAGTTTTTCTGATTACTAATGAGGCTGAGTATCTTTATATGTTTATCGACGATTTGTATTTTTTTTTTTGGGAAATGACTGGCTTTGGCTTATTTTGTTGGTAAATATAAAGAATAAATAGCACAATGAAAGGCACACAGTAAACCTTAGGCCTTTCATTATCAGTTGGATATGTATTTTCATTATTATAATGTCTATAATTTGTATATTTGACTCAAACATACCTGTCAGTTCTTCTTGGATCAGTAACAAACCAACATGAAAACAAGATGACTGTGAGAATTTATTAAAGTATTGAGTTGGTAAAATGAATATAACCACCAAGGCCATTTCAGTTTTGATCTTATTCCATGTTATTAACTATACTATTATGTAAATCTGTGACTTCAGTACTAATTATTTTTCCCTTCTTTCCTTGAGCTGTTGTAGCAAACAGTGACGAATCTCAGCTTCTGACACCAGGAAAGATGAGTCAGCGCCAAGGAAAAGAAGCTTATCCAACGCCAACCAAAGATTTGCATCAGCCATCTCTTAGTCCAGCAAGTCCTCATAGCCAGGGTAGGAAGTTGTGGTTTTCATGTTTTGTCTTGTTTTTGTTTTTGTTTTTGGAGGGGAGAAGGGGAGAATGACATTTGGGGACTATCATATTTTTTTTCTTTTTAACTATTTGGTTTTGTAAGGGGTTTTGTTTGTTTTGTTTAGGTCATCTATAATACTCTTGAAATGAGTACACTTTCCTTTAGACTTTTAATTTTTTTTAATATTCTCCAACATACTTCGTTAGTTATATCATTCATCTAATTTGGCGATTCTCACACTTTGTGGTCTCATGGTTCCTTTGTAGTCTTAAAAATTATTGAAGACTGTGAAGTGCTTTTGTTTATGTGAGTTATATCTATTTTATTATATTATAAATTAAAACTAGAAATTTAAAAATTTAATTCATTTAAAGTAATAAACCCATTACATGTTAATGTAAGTAACATTTTTATTAAGAACTACAGTGTTTTCTTTCCCTCTACTCCCCAAAAAGTTGATTGAGAAGGTTGGTAATGGTTTATCCCAGGACTTCTCAACCTTCGAACTATTTTCAGGACTTCTCAACCTTGGCACTGTTTTGGCCTGGAAAGTTCTTTGTTGTGGAGGGCTGTCCTATGCATTATATGATGTTTAGCAGTATCCCTGGCCTCTACCCAGAAAATGTCAATAGCAGTTACCCCAGTTGTGACAACCAGAAATGTTTCCAGATGTTGCCAAGTATCCCTTGAGGGACAAAACCATCCATGATTAAGAACTGCTTTTTGGCGGTTTTTGCAAATCACTTTAATGTCTAGCTTAAAAGACACCTGCATTTTTGTATCTGCTTCTGCAGTCTGTTGTGATGTGATGATCCGATTGAAGTATATGAATAAAATCTGGTCTCATGCATATATATATATGGGGGGGGTTTATACATAATTATAGATATTCTTTGATAATATGCCAAAACTTGACTAGTAGTAATTTTCTTTATGTTAATTGCAATCTGGAATCTGAAACGCTGTCAGTACACTTTTCATACTCTGTTAAAATTCACTCTTGAATTTTGAATGGCTCTTTACTCATGCATGATTTTGTAACATCATGCATTAGTCATTTGGAAAATATTTGCTCACTGAATTATGCAGATCTTCCAAGTGTTGACACATTAAAAAATATAGTACAGAGAAGGGCTTTATGTATGCTTCTCATTCTGTTGCACAGAATATTAAAATCTTACGTACTAAAGGTTCAAGAGCAATAATTTTTACTTCTTCATCAAGGACATCTGTAAGTGAAACTGTCATTCTTCTGTGAGTGCATGACTGAAGAATTCAGTGCCTACTACTCCAGTTTGGTGCCTCTGCCTTGATTTATGCTAAGTTGCCAGCAGTTTTACCCAAGATTGCTTTTGTGCCATCAATGAAAATGGCAACATAATGAAAAAGTATTATGAAACTAGTTTTCACCTTGCAGATCCTCTAGAAGGGTCTTTGGGTACTCCCAGAAGTTCAGGGATCACAGTTTCTAATTCATAATTGATAAGTTTTGTATAATGGATTCTGCTCCTCAGCTGAAGTTTATTTAATCAAATGTACGGAAATCTCCTGTGGTACTACTCATAGCTGTGGTGGAAGGACTTCTGCTTTTAAAACTGAGAAATGAAATTTGGTGTTTTGAAAGTTAATGTATACTTAGGTTATTGAGTATTTTTAAAAATTAAATTTAGAGTTCTGTCATACTTTGTAATTAGTCAGTTTTGATGTTGTAACTTTATGAATTATCTTTTGAAATTTGGCTTTAGTAACTTTTCAAATGAGTACTACCTTGTAAATAGTAAGTTACATGATCATTTTCTACTTTCTTTCTTTATTTTTTGAGACAGAGTCTTGCTCTGTCGCCAGGCTAGAGTGCAGTGGCGCGATCTCAGCTCACTGCAACCTCCATCTCCCGGGTTCAAGCGATTCTCCTGCCTCAGCCTCCTGAGTAGCTGGAATTACAGGCGCATGCCACCATGCCCAGCTAATTTTTGTGTTTTTAGTAGAGACGGGATTTCACCGTGTTGGCCAGGATGGTCTTGATCTCTTGACCTTGTGATCCGCCCACCTTGGCCTCCCAAAGTGCTGGGATTACAGGCGTGAGCCACCGCACCCATCCTCTACTTTATTTCAATAGAAAATGTTTATCTAGTCATATATTAGATGGAAACACTTTCATATAGCATGGTAGGAACTATAAAAATTTATGTAACAAGATGAAAATAATTACTATAACATATATTGCTTAGTTGTCGATTGTATTTTTGAAAAGTTAGCATTTTTGTTGCCAAAATGCTTTTTGGAAGACCTGAAAAACGATATATGATACACACTCTGGTATAAATAAGCTTCATTAAGATAAAATTCTGAAACAATGCAACTGACCTGGTTTTTTTTTGCACTGTGCATCAGAATTTTGGCTATAATAGATATGGTTTCTCTGATGCATGTATCTGTGCACTAGAATATTTAGAGGAATTCTTTAACTTAGGAGTTAATGAACCAACAAAAGGGTTAGTTACTAATAATTAAAACTACACTTGTTTATATTTATTATGAATGTTTTCAGGCAAACAGGGAAGTTAAAAAAAGAGTACAGTGAACACTAATATACCCATTGTATAGATGTAAGGAGTTATTAACCTTTTGTTTTGTTTGTTTCATTTATTTAGGGTACAGCGTGAATATTTAGAGTAAATTACAGACTTCATGACGTACCCCAAAATACTTAATGTGTCTCTAAAAAATGAGCACATTTTCTTATGTAACCATAAAACCTTTATTACATCTAACAAAACTGATGATAATTGCTTAACATAACCTAACACCTAGTCTATATTTAAATTTTGCCTAGTTTTCCCCAAATCTTTCTACAGTAGGCTTGCTGAAACCAAATAAAGTCCATACATCTTATTTGGTTATGTCATTACGTCCTTAATCCTAAAGAGTCTCCTTGTTTACTTTTGTTTTCTTTTGTGTCTTTGACGGTTTTAAGAAACTTGGCTGACCGGGTGCAGTGGCTCATGCCTGTAATCCCAGCACTTTGGGAGGCCAAGGCGGGTGGATTACCTGAGGTCAGGAGTTCGAGACCAGCCTGGCCAACATGGTGAAACCCCATCTCTACTTAAAAATACAAAAAAATTAGCCAGGCTTGGTGGCGGGCACCTGTAATCCTAGCTATTTGAGAGGCTGAGGCAGGGGAATCACTTGAACCTGGGAGGCAGAGGTTGCAGTGAGCCGAGATCGCGCCATTGCACTCCAGCCTGGGCAATAAGAGTGAAACTCCATCTCAGGAAAAAAAAAAATGGATCTAGGCCAGTGTCCTGTAGAGTGTTTGACTTTTTTAGATTGTTTGATTACATCTTTGCGGTATTACTTAATTTGTTTCTGTATCTTCTATATTTTCTGTAAACTAGAAGTTAAATGCAAAGGCTCGATTATATCTAGCTAGAGCATTTTTGGCAAGAATACTTTGTAGGGAGTGTGTAGTACTTCATGCTGCATCACATAAGAATTCACTTAATATCTGATTGTCCTGCTGCTAGTGATACAAGATTGGTAGATTTAGGTGAGGATAGCCTGATTCTCTTCATTGAAAGTTGCGTCTTTTCATTCTTTATGACTTGAAAGTGAAGATAAAGATGATATATTTGGCACCTTGCAAAAATCGTGTCCCCCATCAACTTTTTACTGAAAGATGTTTGAATCCTTTGATGATCATTAACTGAATCAGTTACAATATTAGGAGTTGAAAAATAGTGATTTTATAATTCTGTCATTCTTGTTATATGTGTTAATGAAATCTTTAAAGACAAGATCATCACTTAGGGTTACTTGGTAAATGTGAAATATAGTTAGTTCCTACAGAAAAGGTAGGCTGTGTGGGTATTTGTTTACTGCAAAGTATTAATTTTTTGATTGAAGGCGTAATGTGAAGTCTACTTCCAGTGGTGACAAATTCTTTTTGCCTTTTAAGTTTTTTTAATATCATGAGGAACTCATGGATTTTAATATATTCATTGTGTTTCAGTCATTGGTAAAGTGAAGATAATAGTATTTAGCACATAGGATTTTATTAAGGTTTAAAATGAATTAATATGTATATAAAGCCTAGCACCTGGTAGATGATAACCACACATGATCGCTGATATAATAATATTATTATCATTACTGTCATCAGTATTTTAAATAAAAAATGATTCCATTTGGGTTGAAGGCTGACATTTTAGGCTTTGCTATACTTCAGTATCTTTTAGAGGCTCATTTAGAACTTCTTTTAGTATGGATGGCCCATATATAACCCTCTAATTTAAAGCAGCCACGGTGTTAGTCATATCTTTATTTGCACTTAAATGTTCCTAGGTAAGTTTATGAATAAATTAATATTTTTAGAGTAAATTACATAGTAGATGTACTTCTTTAAAAGTCATTGGCTTTTTGTAAAGCAAAATACCTTCCTCTGGTTTATCCACTGAAATTCCATATCACAGTTTTCATGTGTAGGAGGTTTGTTTGAAATAAGATTATCTGTTAGCTTTTGGTCATGGTGAAGATTAACTGCTGGAGGAGATAAACCAATGTCCAGAAAACCTCTGATGTATCTGCCTTATCTCAAGTACTCATGATCAGCATTTTAGCTTCTGAATGGAAAGAATTAGAGTTCCAAAAGCTTATTGATAATATAGTGCATAACATTTAAAGGTCCTCATGTCTCTGAGGGCTTTTATATGCCTTAGCTCATGGAATTCTTACGAGGACTTTATGGTATATAAATCATTATTCCCCCCATTTTACAAATGAGGAAACTGAGCAGTTGGTAAGGTTTACAAGTCTACATAGTATGTAGTAGAGCTAAAATTTGAACTTAAACTCAGACTTTTTAAGTTCCAGTCAATTTTGTCATATTTTTGGAGGTTCAAATTTTTCAAACTTTGAGTCGAGTATTTTGATAGAATTCCATTATGTATACAATGCTTTGGAGATATATTTTTTGGGGGGTAGTACCTAGGAGTGCAATTGCTGAATCATGTGGTGAGTGTTTGTTTCACTTTATAAGAAATGGCCAAGCCATTTTCCAAAGTAGTTGGACCGTTCTTACATTCCTCTTAGGCAGTGTGTGAGCTGTCCAGTGGCTCTACATCCTTGATCTTTTTTATTTTAGTCATTCCAGTAGGTGTTTAGTGGTATATTGTGGTTTCAGTTTACATTTCCCTCATTACTGATGATGTTTGAGCATCTCATATGCTCATTGGCCATCTTTTACATCTTCTTTTTGCAAAGTATCATTTCATATGTTTGCCCATTTGAAAATTGTCTTGTTTGTATTATTATGTTTTAAAGGTTCTTTAATACATTTTAATATCATTTTGATAGCCATGTGTATTGAGAGTACTTTCTTCCAGTCTTGGCATGCTTTCTTATTTTCTTAATGCTTTCTTTCTAAGAGCAGATGTTTTTAATTTCATTGATGCCCAATTTATCAGTTTTTCCTATGATTCAAACTTTTTTCCTATTAAAGAAAGTTTTGCCTACTCTAAAGTTGCAAAGGATACTTTCTGTGTTTTCTTTTAGAAGTTATAAAGTGTCAAGGCTCTGATTTATCTCTTGATTTTTATTCTTACTTTTACCATCTTGGTTAGATCTCTATCATTTTATGCCTGCATTACTGAGTAGTACCACAGCCTCCTAACTGCTATTAGAACCTTGCCCTCCAACATACCAGTTCATCTTTCTTAACAAAACAACCAAACAGAAAATTATTTTTTACATACTTTGGTGAGATTATGATGGGTTCAGGGTTCTTATAGGTGTGTATTACCAGAGAACACATGGATCCTATGAAGTAGATCTCTGAGGGAAATAATATGAATAAAAGAGAAATATAAAATTTTAAGTGAAAGTACCACTTTTTATTATTAAAGCTTTTAACTATAAAAAAACTAATGAGATGGCTACATTTATGTCCCTCTCATTCTCAAAAAGGCAGTGGCTTACTGTTGCTTAGAGCAGTAGCACCTACATCTGGCTATATCTGAGTCACCTGGAAGCTTTGCTTAGATATAGATTTCACTCCACTCTTTCAGAATCTCTAAGGGTGAGGCTCAGTAACATAATGTGTTTATAAAGCTCTCCAAGTGTGTCTGATGTAGCAACTTCTGGACCAGCAAGTGGAAACCAGCAATTGAGAGCATAAATTTAGGCTTCCATATCTTTGGTAGTCAAGGTTCTTAGTATGTCTGATTTTACTGTACTCTTCCAGTTTCATCTTGTGTTTCTCATCATCGTGGACCCAGCTAGATAGCTTTCTTCACTGTTTCCCAGTGAGACTGTACTTTTATTTGTGCTGGTCTTCTATAGTGGAATATGCTTCTCCTTTCTACTTGCTTATCCAAATACTTCTCATTCTAGAAGGTGTAGTTTAAATCTGTTCTCTTTTGTAAGGCTTTCTTAGGTGATACTGTTATCTCAGTTTTCAAAATTCTTATATCACTGCTTTGGGGATTTCACAATATGCTGCTTTATATTGTTATTATAATAGGTATGTTTGATTTCTTCAAGCAGTGTTGTAAAGAGAGTTAAATGCCTTAAATTACATTCATAATAAATGAATGATTGCTTACCATCAATTTAAGAATTTCATCTATTCTCATTCATGTTTCTGGCTGAATCTCTGTTATGTATATTGACTCATACCAACTTAATGTAGCTCATCATTCTTTAAAAGCTGTTCTAAAGTTTTTTGCACTCTGGTTTTGTTCTATTGTTTTAGGATTTTTTTTAAGAGCTGGGGAGACTGACTCTCCTTACCCCACACACATCAAAATACATTTTTGTTTGTTATATGTTTAGATTTTGGTGAATTAGATTATTCAAGAAATTATGTATTTTCCAGATTGTGTTCCTTATTCAAAGGCTTAGTATCAGTTTACTTTAAAATAATTTTACCTTAAGTAAAATTATAGTCTCTTAAAGAGGATGGTATTTGTTTTGATTTATTTGAGCCGAACATATTTCAATTGTTTATTAAGAAAGACAGATATGTAAGGGCCGGGTGCAGTGTCTCATGCCTATAATAGCAGAACTTTGGGAGGCCAAGGGGGGCAGATAACCTGGGGTCAGGAATTTGAGACCAGCCTGGCCAACATGGTGAAACCATCTCTACTAAAAATATTAAAATTAGCCAGGCATGATGGTGCATGCCCATAGTCCCAGCTACTGGGGAGACTGAGGCAGGAGAATCACTTGAACTTGGAAGGCAGAGGTTGCAGTGAGCCAAGATCGCGCCACTGCACTCCAGCCTGGGAGACAGAGCAAGACTCTGTCTCAAAAAAATGAAAAAGAAGACAGAAATGTAGATTAATTAGGCTCGCGTTCACCCTTTCCTCCTCTGCTTTTAACTAAGGACAATGCCAAAGGAGCCTGGAGCCTAAATTATAGCTCATCTCATGGGCAAATAGGCAAACATGACACACATTCTTCTGTGTCCTGTTTGAGATTATTATCAAAGCTTCATGAAATACTATAACTTACCTTGTAGCTACTCTCATTCTTGGTTGTAAAAAGCTATTTTGTATGTTTTTATTTTTAAAAAACCATCTTTCAATTATAGTGCTTTGTGAGAGAATATATAATATTGCTTTACTAAAACTTACAAATGAGTCCATTTCAAACTAGTTTTTAAATGTTTAAAATTTTAAAACTTTTAAAACAAAAACTTTAACCTGCTTAATCAGTTTTATCAAAATTAACAGACTATGCTTGGTTTAGCTAGGCTCAAATTAAAATATCTGTTTTTAGTTTTGTGTCTCTTATCCCTTAGTACGTTCTCTTAAACCTGCAAAGTCCCTTCACTTTAAATGCTCTAGCAGCACTAAAAATATGATAAGTCAATATCCACTACTTCATAGAAAACTTCAAAGGAGATTTTCTTTCATACAATTTACTGATGTGAAGATACTGTACCAGATTCCCCAGGGTGACAGCGTTACACATTACTGGTATAATCTCAGGTGACTAACATGGAGTACCTTCATTTAAGTGGTTCACAGATAAGAAAGACCTAGAAATCATTTTCCTCCATGAATTGAAGCAGTTCCTCCTGTCTTGTTAAGACATTTCTAGTATCAATTATGAACATATGTGGGACTGTACACATATAACAAATGTGTTCTTGAATATGTTATATTTTGGAAAATTGTTTTACCTGAAAGAGGGCTTGTAGTTAGACCCACCCCTCCATTATCTTTAATTTCTCCCCAAAATGCTGTGCTTTGGTTTGTAGCCAGAGGTTGTTTTCTTTAGAAATAGTATAATTACAGATTATGCTAATTTTCTTCTGAGTTTTAAAATCCTTAATGCATTAAATATCTGTAATTTAGATTTCAAGTTATGTTTAAAAATAGGTTGTTTTCTGTTTTGAAGTTCCTTGTCTTTGGGTAGTTGCTTCATAGAACTATGAAAATACCTATTGAATAATGAAAGAGAATATAATATTTGGCAAATTCAGGATATAAAAATGAAATCGTTTTTTAAATCTCTTATAAAATGTTATGGTATCTTTGTTCAACTGTCCCTATATTCCTACAGGAGAAACTGAAATACTTTGAAAGCATTTATTGAAAAGTAAGAATGAATAATTCAGCTTTAAGCATCTTTACAAAGATAGGGGGCAGCTGTCTTATTCTTGCCCGGCCTTATTAATTGTTTCTTTAACAAAGCAGAAAGGTGAACATTAAGAACACCAAAGAATTTTTTTTATAATTTTTAATTTTTGTGGGTACACAGTAGGTATAAATATTTATGGAGTACATTAGATGTTTTTATACGAGCATGCAATGCCTAATAATCACATCATGGAAAATATGTTATGTATTTCCTCGAGCATTTATCCTTTGTGTTACAGACAATCAATTATACTGTTTTAGTTACTTTAAAATGTACAATTAAATTATTATTGAATATAGTCACCCTGTTATGCTATCAAATACTAGGCTGTATTCATTCATGCTATTTTTTTGTACCTATTAATTGTCCCCAGCTTTCCCCACCCCACCCTCTCACTACTCTTCCCAGCCTCCAGTAACCATCCTTCTACTCTGTATCTCCATGGGTTCAATCGTTTTGATTTTAAGATGTCACAAATAAGGAGTATTTTTTCCTTGAAAAAATGTTCTTTTATATATTTTTTAACTTAATATAACATTAAAAAATGATCAACTATTACCTGTACTCGTTTCTTAGCTCTTTTCTGTTGGGATTTAGCCTTCTATGTTTTGCAAGTCGGACAGATTGAAATCTCCTTTTTAGCAAGAGTGGTAAAAGTTTTATCTGTAGAGTTGACTACTACAATTTTGTTTTTCTTACCTGAGGCCTAGAGAGGACTTTCTGTATTTTTAATAAATATGTAGCCAAGTAATATCAGTAGAATTGTTAAGTAATATTTGTATAATTTTTGAGAGAAAGTAAACAGCTTCATAGAATTTTTTCTTTTTTTTGGTTGTTGTAACTTTGAACATACATAAATTTTATTTAAGAATGAAACAATGAAATCTTAGCAAGTTGATCTCTTTCCAGGTAAAGGAAGGTTGTTTTTGACAGATGGCCCAATATCCCCTGGGGAATTCAGTATTTTCCGAGTCTCCTCTTTCAAGCTGACTTTCATTTAGCCTGCTTGTAAATAGTCCTGTAGTAGAAAGCAAGTGCAAAGATGATTTTCGCAGCTCCTGCCCACATGAGTTTAATTTGTAATTGGGAAATATAGGGGAAAGAAGTAGGGAAACATTATAAGGAAATATGAAAGCTTAATGTAAGTGAACTTTCAGTTCCAGTAACGTAGCAAAGTAGATGTTCAGAGAAAATCCTTCTAGTAAGAACATCAAAATATGAAGTAAAATGTCTTAGAAATTTACAATGTGAATTGTCAGTAAAATAAGGGAATTAACAGGAGGGGCAGAATTATTGAGAAAGTGGGACTCTAGAGGTGATGAGCTCTGGAGCCAGCATCTGCTAATTTCTGAAGGTCTAAAGCTTGAGTTTTAGCAAGAGAAAGGAGTAAAAGACTGTGGCCCATTCATGATGGAAATTTGGATTGAAGATTCTCCTCATAAAATTAGAGGTCCTGAAGGGTAACGTACTTAGTTAATGAACTGGATAACATACCCACAGAGGAAGACTATATTTGCCTGTTTTGGTCTTGATTCTAGGTGAAATGATGGGAGGAGAGAGTCTTCCTTGAGAAATTCTAAACACAAGCACATATTTATATGAGTTTGGGGTCAAAATCCATATTATCTCTGTGGCAGAAACACCCTTCAGTTTAGTTTAAAACAGTTTGGGTTATTAGTATACACAAGTGCCTGGAAGAACTGACACAA
Source organism: Homo sapiens (assembly GCF_000001405.40). Classification (NCBI taxonomy): domain Eukaryota; kingdom Metazoa; phylum Chordata; class Mammalia; order Primates; family Hominidae; genus Homo; species Homo sapiens. Next base: position 76,440,478 of record NC_000012.12, on the reverse strand, counting down.
ATCTTCTTTAGAGAAGAGTATTTTAAACACAGACTTCAAAGAAGTGTATATGAGCTCATAATTTAAAATCAATAAAAAATTAAAATGAGATGCCATTGTGCACCTGTAAGAAAGAGTAGCTTAAAATCTAAAATACCGTCACCACCAGATGCTGGCGGGGATGTGAAAAAAAAATCATCAATACGTGGGATAACGAACCATTTTCAGAGAGAATCCACATGAGGTACCTACTGTGCAGCTGTATAAAGTCTGCATCAGTTGGAACTATCAGTTGCAGAATGAAATTTAATGGGTGAGAGTCATTTTTAAAAGAGATAAAGCTGAGGATCTTTCAGAATTCTTGAAAGACAACAACTGTCTGATTAAGGAGGCCCCACAATTCCCAAGCAGGAAATCTAAAAAATAATAGCCTTAATGCTGATATTTGGCAAGAAGAAAGGCTCAGAAGTAATGAACTAGAAAAAGAATAATAGAGTAAACCCAAAGTAAACAGGGAAGGAAATAATAATAAAGATAATAAGTTAATTAAATAGAAGGCAAGACACGGTTGAGATCAGGAAAGATGATGGTTGTTTGTAAAGGCTAATAAAATTGTCAAACCTTTGGCAAGCTTAAGGGGAAAAAGAAACATTAGGAATGAAAGGGGACACAACTAAAAATACAAGTAGATGTTTAAAAGATATTATAAACAACTGTAAGCCAATAAATTTCAAAAACTTAATGAAATGAACAGATTTCTGGAAAGGTGATTTCCCAAAACTGACTCCATAATTAGAAAATACTAGTGATTTTTATAATCTTTAAAGTAACCTAATTAGTAATACAGATTACTTTTACAAAGAAAACATGAAACTCAGGTTTACAAACAAATCCTACCAAGCCTTTAGGGAAAAAAAAAGGTAATTTCACATTAGTACTGCATTTCATTGATTATAAAAACACTCTCCCCCCAAGCACATACATATTCTGTCATCTCTGAAATTGAGTTGAATCTTAAATTGATGGTGTTTTACAATCTCTCTTGGTCATTGTCATTGTTAAACAGTTTTTTTAAATCATTCTGAGTTTGGAATGTGTGCTGTATATCTTTTTTTTTTTTGGAGATGGAGTCTCACTCTGTCGCCCAGGCTGGAATGCAGTGGCATGATCTTGGGTCACTGCAACCTCCGCCTCCTGGGTTCAAGCGATTCTCCAGCCTCAGCCTCCTGAGTAGCTGGGATTATAGGCGTGCGCCACCATGCCCAGCTAATTTTTGTATTTTTAGTAAAGATGGGGTTTCACCATATTGGCCAGGCTGGTGTCGAACTCCTGACCTCGTGATCTGCACACCTCGGCCTCCCAAAGTGCTAGGATTACAGGCGTGAGCCACCGCGTCCGGCCTGTGTGCTCTATATCTTATAATTGCCATCAATCTCTCCACCTCCCCCTGTATTTTATGAGCTCTCTGAAGTCAGGAATATAGCCTGTAGTTGGTGAAATCTTAGAACTGATAAAATGAAAAAAGAAACATTCCTTAAATCAGGCTTTTATATGAGAAGCAGGCAAGGACATTGCAAGAGAAAAAAATTATAAGACATTTCTTGTTCATGAACCTAGACGCAGAAGTTCAAAAATTATTAGCAAACTGAATCTAGCAAGGTAAACATTGTACTCACATCAGGGTTGTTCCAGGAGTGCAAGGATGGGTTTGATATTAGAAAATCTATGATTTCCACTTAACACTTTAACAAAGAAGGAAAACTGTTATCATCCTACTAATAAAGAAAACATATTTGAAAATTTTAACATCTACTCACGATAAAAACTCTTAGCAAACTAGGAATAGACTTGATCTTTCCTAACCATGTGAAGTTAGAATCTAGAAGGAGAAAAAGACGTGGACTATTTACACTTCATCTCAAATATTTCAAATTTTGCCAGTGAATAAAAAGTAAAGGAAGAAACAAACTGATAACTGTTCTATACAGACCCCCTAATTGACACAGAAATCATTAAAATTATTAAGAAGTTAGCCGGGCATGGTGGCACACACCTGTAGTCTCAGCTACTTGGGAGGCTAAGGTGGGAGAATTGCTTGAGTACAGGAAGGTTGATGTTGCAGTGAGCCGTAATCGCACCACTGCTCTCCAGCGTGAGCGACAGAGTGAGACCCTGCCTCAAAAAAAAAAAAAAAAAGTTATTAAGAAGTTACTGGGCTGGGCGCAGTGGCTCATGCCTGTAATCCCAGCACTTTGGGAGGCCGAGGCGGGCGGATCATGAGGTCAGGAGATCGAGACCATCCTGGCTAACACGGTGAAACCCCGTCTCTACTAAAAATACAAAAAATTAGCTGGGCGTGGTGGTGCGTGCCTGTAGTCCCAGCTACCCGAGAGGCTGAGGCAGGAGAATAGCGTGAACCCAGGAGGCAGAGCTTGCAGTGAGCCGAGATCGCACCACTGCACTCCAGCCTGGGCGACAGAGCAAGACTCCGTCTCAAAAAAAATAAAAAATAAAAAAAGAAGAAGTTTTACTTAATTTATGTTAACTGCAGTTCTGTGTGCCTATAACAAGTGGTTAGCAAAATGTGATTCAAGGTACACTACTTAAAATAACAGAAAATAAGATACACAACAGTAAATCTAATAAGAGACATGAAATTATCTTATGTGGGGAAAGTGTAACACTAAGATTATGTATTCTAAATAAACAGACCATGTTTACGATAGGAAAATTCAACATTTTTCCAGTGTGACATCACTTCTCATTGATTTTATAGGTTCAATGCATTTTGAATCCATATCTCAACAGGATTTTTTTCAAAGTACTTGATAAGACCATTCTTAACTCTTTAGGGAAAGCAAAGAGCAAAGAAGAGTCAAGATACTCTTGAAGAAAAGCAGAACCAGGCAAGGGTGGGAGTAGAGATGCGTTGCAGTGCATGTAACTAACAAAGGATTAATATCCAGAGAAAGTTAAGTACTCCTATGGATTAACCAAAAAGACCAAAAAGTTCACCAGAAAGATGTCCAAAAGACATGAATAGATACCTAACAGAAGAGGTAACACGGATGGCCAATAAATGTGAAATGATGCTCAACATCATTAAGAATCACCAAATGTAGTTAATCACCAAATAGTAATGAATTGCTATTTCATACCCACCCACCACATCAAAAAAATTTTTCAAGTCTGATAATTACAGGTGTCAGTAAGGATATGAAACCATATGAATTCCCATTTACAACGGATGGAAGCATAATTGGTAGAACCATTTTTGAAAAATAGTTTGACATTATGTAGCAAAGTTAAAGATAAACTCTAATCCTTTGTTTTTATGCTTCTAGGAATACTCTCACGCATGTACCAGCAGAATTGTTGGTAATAGAAGAAAAACACCTGAAAAAACCTAAACCTAAATGTTTGTCATGAGTGGAATGAATAAATATTACAATATATTCATACAATAGAGTACCATACAATAATGAAATGAATGCCTTAAAGCTACAGGAATCAATATGGAAGAATTTACGAAACAAATTAAAGTTAAGACATTTATGTAAAGTTTAAAAACAAGTAAAACTTACCAATGCATTATAGGCAATAGGGATAGATATGTGATAAAACAATGGAATGAGTAAACAGAATTGGGGAAAATGGTGAACTCTGGCTGGAAGAGTGGGAGGTATTTATAATACACATGTGTTATATAAACTTGTGTATATCATATTTAAAATAAATGTTTATTCTTTCTTTTCAAAGGTATAGTTTGTGGACTGTTACTGGTTTCTGTCGTGTTTTCCTAGTTCTGTAACTAGATGAAAAAAATGAGTATACTACCATGAGTTTTTTATTAAGTTAAGTTCCTTCAATTCAAAACATTGTCCTTTATTATAAGATTATAGTTTTTCCAATGTATGGTATTTAATGTCCCTTTATGAATTGATGGAGAATGTGAGTAGTTACAGGTTTGTTTTCTTTTTTTTTTGAATGTGTCTTATTAAGACGAAAATGCAGATAGATATTGGGCGGGGGGGTGGAATTTTACTGGTCCACAAATTTCAAAATTTAGGGACCACTGGTTTATGTTATTTACCATATGAGAGGATTGTGGGTACATGCTAAAGATGTGAAAATTCTTACATTTTTAGATGAAGTAATGAACCATGAAGTTAGTTTGGAACATGGTTACAACCATGGATCCAAAAGAGCTTCTTAAGGACAATGTTAGGCTCATCATTCAGGAAATTTTTGGAGTGTGGCAGCCAGTAATCCAAATACAAAGCCCATAAGGTTGGATAGAGTCTCTGGTGGGTAAGTAAAAAGATGCAAGCATTGGCACCAATATATAAACATCAGCTAGGAAAGGGAGTGGAGACACCAGTATTCAGGCTTGCCGTTCTAGAATAAGCAATATTCTCTCAATATTCTCTCATAGCTTGGTTTTCATGCTTAGAGAGAATGGCTGCAAGACTCCAGTTACCTTTGGAGCATTTGAATATGTATGGTGGGGAGTAAGATTTTCTTTATGTTTTGAGAGCTTAGTTATAGAGAAGAAATAGTGCCTGGAAAGAGTAGTAGGCCCTTTCTAATATGATATTTGCATAGATTTCTAGTGGCAGAATTCTTTAAACAATTGATGTTTTGAAAGTTTTGGGTTGAGTCCCTGATTTGCAAACTGCCCTTATATGTAAAGGAAGACCCACTAGGGTGATTTAGGTTCTATAGACTCTCCTTTCTTTACCATCATTGTGATGTCACTCATTTTTTTCCCTTCCCACCACAAATCGTATTGTTGCCTGGAACGATCTTTTTATTTTTTAGCTTTATTGGCATGTAATTGACAAATATCAATAATATATATTTCTTGTACAACTTGGTGTTTTGTGAAATTATCACCACAATCAAGCTACTTAACATTTCTATCACCTCACCATTACCATTTTTTGGCATGTGTTGTGAGATCAGTTAACATCTCCCCTCTAAGCAAATTTCAAGTATTTAATACAGTATTAACTATGCATATATTAGATCCCCAGAACTTATTCATACTGCATATCTGAAACTTGTACCCTTTGACTAATATCTCCCCATTTCCTCCACTCCCCAACCTCTAGCAACCACTATTCTAATTCTGTGCATCTATGAGTTCAACTATTTTAAATTCTACATATAAGAGAGATCATGCAGTATTTGTCTTTCCATGTCTGGCTTATTTCACTTAGCATAATGTCCTCCAGCATTGTCTGTGTTGTCACAAATGGCAAGATTTCCTTCTTTTTCAAAGCTGAATAATATTCTATTTATGTATATATGCACACACACACACACACACACACACACACACGTAGATATATACACAAACACCTCAGTTTATCCATTCTCTGCAGTGGACATTTAGGTTGTTTCCATATCTTCGCTATTGTGAGTAATGCTATAGTGAGCATGGGAGTACAGATATCTCCTTGAGATACAGGTTTCATTTCCTTTGGATATATACTCTGAAGTGGTGTTGTTGGATCATACAGTAATTCTATTTTGAATCTTTTGAATAACCTTCATACTGCTTTCCATAATAGATGTACCAATTTATTTTCTGTGTACAAAGAGTCCCTTTTTCCCTGCATCCTAGTGAAAAGTTAACTTACGTTTTATTGATAATGGCCATTCTGGCAGGTATGAAGTGATACCTCATTGAGGTTTTGACTTGTGTTTCCCTGATGATTAGTGATGTTGAACATTTTTTATATACCTGATGGCCATTTGTATATCTTCTTTTGAGAAATGCCTGTTCAGGTCTCTTGCTCACTTTTTAATTAGGTTATTTTGTTTGTTTTCATTTTTTAAATTTTTGTTATTGAGTTGAGTTTTTAATATATTTTGTATATTAGCCCCATATTAGATACATGGTTTGTAAATATTTTCTTCTATTCTTTCAGTTGCCATTTCACTATGTTGATTGTTTCCTTTGCTGTGCAGAATCTTTCTAGATTGATATAGTCTTACCTATTTTTGCTTTTGTTGCCTTGGCTTTTGGTGTCATATCCCAAAAGTCATTGCCCTGACCAATGTCAAGAAGCTTTTTTTCCCTTTTCCTTCTGGTAGTTTTATGGTTTGAGCTCTTACATTTAAGTCTTTAATTCATTTTGAGTTGATTTCTGCATATGGTGTGAGATAAGGGACAAATTTCTTTCTTCTGCATGTGGGTATCCAGTTTGTCCACCACCATTTATTGAAGAGAATATCTTTTCCTCATTGTATGTTCTTGGCACACTGGTTGAAGATCAGTTGACCATAATGTGTGGGCTTATTTCTGGGCTCTCTATTCTGTTCCATTGGTCGATATGTCTGTCTGTATGCCAATGCTATACCATTTTGATTACTGTTGTTTTGTAATATATTTTGAAATAAGCAAATGTGATACCTCCAGCTTTGTTCTTTCTTCTTCTTGATCAAGATTTCTTTAGCTATTCTGGGTCTTTGTGATTTCATATGAGTTTTAGGATTTTTTTTTTTTTTTTTTTTTTTGAGATGGAGTCTCACTCTGTTGCCCAAGCTGGAGTGCAGTGGCATGATCTTGGCTCACTGCAACCTCCGCCTCCTGGGTTCAAGCAATTATCCTGTGTCAGCCTCCTGAGTAGCTGGATTACAGGTGCATGTCACTATGCCTGGCTAATTTTTTTTGTATTTTTAGTAGAGATGGCATTTCACGATGTTGGTCAGGCTAGTCTTGAACTCCTGACCTCATGATCCACCTGCCTTGGCCTCCCAAAGTGCTGGGATTACAGGTGTGAGCCACCACACCCAGCCTTTTTTGGTAATTTTTTAAGGAATGGCATTGGGATTTTGATAGTGATGGCTTTGAATCTGTGGATCTTTTGGATAGGATGGACATTTTAACAATATTAATTCTTCTGATCCACAAAAATGGGATGTCTTTCCATTTATCTGTGTCTTCTTTCATTTCCTTCATCACTATTAATTTTCAGTGTATAAATCTTTCACCTCTTTTTGTTTATTTCTAAGTATTCTTTTTTTTTGCTATTGTAACTGGGATTGTTTTTATAATTTCCTTTTTGAGTAGCTCATTATGTATAGAAACACCACTAATTTTTGTATCCTGCAACTTTACTGAATTTGTTTATTAGTTTTAAAACTTTTTTGTGGAACCTGTAGGGTTTTCTACGTGTATGATTATGTCATCTGCAAACAGGGAGAGTTTTATTTTTTCCTTTCCTGTTGGACACCTTTTATTTCTTTTTCTTTCTAATTCTTCTGGCTAGGACTTCCAATGCTAGGTTGAATGGAAGTGGTGAGAGTGGGCATCCTTGCCTTGTTCTGGATCTTAGAGAAAGTGTTTTTGGCTTTTCTCTATTGCTTATTATGTTAGCAGTGGGCATTTCATATGTGGTCTTTATTGTGTTTACATAAGTTTCTTCTATACCTATTTTGTTGAGAGTTTTTGTTATGAATAGATGTTGAATTTTTTCAGATGCTTTTTCCACATTTACTAAAGTGATCATGTGGTTTTATCTTTCATCCCATTGATTGATTTGTATATGTTGAACCATCCTTGCATGCCATTTGACCATAGTGTATGATTCTTTCAGTGTGCTGTTGAATTCTGTTTGCCAATATTTTATTAAGTATACATCATGTGTATAGTTGTTCATAGTTGTAATATCTATTTTTTCTGATTTTATGTGAATCTTCTTTTTTCTTAGTCTAGCTAAGAGTTTGTTGATTTTATCTTTTCAAAAAACTCCTTTTTGTATTGTTTTTCTATTCTCCCTTTTATTTATTTCTGCTCTAATTTTTATTCTTTCCTTCTGCTAATTTTGGGCTTAGTTTGTTGTTCTTTTTCTAGTTACTTGAAGTATAATGGTAGGTTATTTGAGTTTTCTTTCTTTTTCTTATTTTTTAAGACAAAGTCTCATTCTGTTGCCCAGGCTGGAATGCAGTGGCATGATCATGTCTCACTGCTTCTTTAAACTCCTGGGATCAAGCACTCTTTCTGTTTCAACGTCCCAGGTAGCTGAGACTACAGGCATGTGCCACCACACCCGGCTAATTTTTAAAATTTTTTGTAGACACACGGTCCCGCTGGGTTGCCCTGGCTGATTTTGAACTCCTGAGCTCAAGCAATTCTCCTGCCTCCCAAAGTGCTGGGATTATAGTCATAAGCCACTGTACCCAGCCAGTGTATTCCTTTTTAAATGTAGGCATTATCACCATGAACTTCTCTTTTTGTACTGCTCTTGCTACATTCCACAAATTTTAGTAATTTCTGTTTTTTGTTTGTCTTGTTTTTAAAATTTCTCTTTTAATTCCTTTTTGACCTAATGATTGTTCAAGTGTGTTTAGTTTTTATCTATTTGTGATTTTTCTGTTTTCTTACTGTTATCGATTACTTAACAGTAAGTAGTTGATACTTTTACTTGATTACTTACTGTTTCGTTCCTTTGTGATAAAGATACTTGATATTATTTTGATCTTTTAAATTTTTTAAGACTTTTTTGGTTACCTAACATAGGATCTATCCTGAAGAGTGCTTCATTTTCACTTGAGAAGAACATGTATTCTTCTGCTGTTGGGGAAATTCTGTGTGTCTGTTGGGTCCATTTGGTCTGTAATGTTGTTCATTTCTTTTCATTTTCTGTTTGGTTGATCTATCCACTAAAAAAAAGTGGAGTATTGAATTGCTATTATCATATTGCTGTCTATTTCTTTCTTCATATCTCTCCATGTTTGCTTTATATATTTAGGTGCATTGAAGTTGGGTGCATATATATGTGTAGTTGTTCTGTCTTCCTATTGAATTAGCCATTTTATTGTAATGGCCTTTGTCTCTTGTGACAGTTTTTGACTTATAGTCCATTTTTCCTGATACATGTATAGCCACTTCTACTCTTTGCATAGAATATCTTTCTCCACCACTGCCCTTTCAGAAAGCTCAGGCATATTTTAAAATCTAAATTGATTTTCTTGTAAACAGCATATAGTTGAGTCTTGTTTTTAATTCATTCAGTGACTCTATTTCTTTTGATTAGGAATTTTAGTCCATTTAACTTTAAAATAATTATTGATAAGTAAGAACTTATTCTTGCCATATTGTTCATTGATTTCTGTGTGTTTTGTAGTTCTCTTCTTCCTTTCTCTCATTTTCTTTCTTTGTGGGTTTTTTTTGTTTTTTGTGTGTTTTTTTTTCTTTTTTTGGCAGTGGTGTGCTTTCCTTTCTCTTTAGCTTTTTAATCTATTGTGCATTTTTTGTGGGTGATTATTGTGGTATTCACATAAAACATTTTATAGTTATAGCAGTCTATTTTAAGCTAATAACAAACTTCAGCTATCTTTAGATACTCCACATTTTACCTCCCCCCACCTCATACTTATGTAATTGATGTCACATTTTACTTTCTGTATTGTGTTCCTATCAATAAGTTTGTCTTTATAGTTATTCTACTTCTGTCTTCTAAATTATTTACTAGTAATAAAAGTGATTTATTTACTACCATTACAGAATTATAATGTTCTGTGTTTGTCTTTATGTTTATCTTTAGCATTCAGATTTATACTTTCATATGCTTTTATGTTGTTGTTTAGCATCTTCTCATTCTAACTTGAAGAACTCTGGCACTTATTGTAAGGCAGGTCTAGTGGGGATGAGCTCCCCTCATTTTTTGTTTGTCTAGGAAAGTCTTTACCTTTCATTCTTAAAGGACAGTTTCACGTTTTAAAGTGTTCTTGGCTGGCAACATTTTCTTTCAGTACATTGAATATATCATTCTACTGTCTTCTGGCCTGCAAGGTTTCCATTGAAAAATGTTGTAGATAGTCTTACAGTGTTTTCCTGATTTTGTTAGATTTTCTATCTGTATTCTCTTGTAGCTCATTCAGCTTCTTTAAGAAAATCATTTTGAATTATTTGTGAAGCAGTTCATGATGTTTATTTAGAATTGGTTACAGAGCTTTATTTGCCTCTTTTGGTGATGTCCTGTTTTTCTGATTCTTTGTGATTCATGTAGACTGATGTTAGTGTCTGCATTTGAAGGAGCAAATACCTCCTCCAGTCCTTAGAGACTGAATTCAACAGATAAAGACCTCCTTTTGCCATTTTTCTGGACCCATGGTACTACCTCTGACATTGTGATTGAGTGGGAGTGGAGCTGGTTCTGTCGGATCTGCTATTGGTGAGCCTGTTACCTGGGGCATTGGTGGATGTGGTTCCTGCCTGGTTCTTGGTCAAGCAAGCCTATCTCTGAACTGCAGTTCAGCAGGGGTGAAATCATGATATAGGGCCACATTCAGAAGGGCCTCAGTCAATTCTGTAGATGGTAGGTCCATTAAGAAGAATGTGGTTGGGTGTATTACCACTGTGTTCCCCAGAGAGGTCACTCAGCGGACAGGATTGTCTTTGAGGTCTAGAGTGGGGCTGGAGCTGGGTCATGGCTGTTTGAGGAGCTGTAGTTGTGTTGGAAGTCAGCAGGCCTGTTACCAGGGGTGCTAGTGGGCATGGTTTCTACCAAGTGAGTTTCTGAGCAGGCACGACTCCTTCTAGACCATGAATCAGTAAGGCTACAGCCAGGTCACAGCTGGTACCATCTTTTTTTTTTTTAAAACCCTTGTCTGTGAGTCTCACCTTACAAAAAAATGCTTGATACTGGCATTTGTGTTGGCTGACTTAGGGAAAGGAGAGAGACAGTAAGCATTATTCCCATGGCTGAATTCTAATCTTGTCTCTGTCGCTCATTTGCTGTGTGACCTTGAATATGTGCCTCTCATCCAGATTACCTTATACATAAAACAAGAATACTCCTTTTATATGTCACATTGTTGTTTGAATTTATTGAGAACATACACAAAAACACTCATGAAAATTATAAAATTATTTAATTATGAGGTAGTATTGTGATGGTTACATGGATAAGTACTATTAGTTTAGTACATTTTTAGTTAAATAGATTTTTGTGAATAGTCTATTCACAAACCTGTGAATAGATTGTTGTTATATGAAACCTAAGCATTTCGTATAACATTTAATACTTTGTGGGAATAATGTCTCTGTGTTTCAGTCAACATATAATGAACATGTACTCATTCATATTGAAAGCTCAGTAAGAGCGGAAACTAAGGTGCCTAACATAGCTGTGCCTAACATAGTTCCCAACACATAGTAGGTGCTCACTAAATTTTTATTGGATGATTTTAATTATATATATGAAATTATAAAGAACTTTTTATCCAGAGGAAAGTACGGTCGTATACTTCTTGCAATGAATATATGTACATGGATAAGAATGCTGTCTAATCTAAAATTGTTTTAAGCTATCCTTTTATTTTTGTATGTGTATTTACATGTGCTTTCATGTTGAGACATATTTAATGCTGATAATGGAGAATCTACAGCAATGTTTTCTGAGGAAATGTACGATAATAAGATTGCTTGGTATAATTTGCAGCCATGTAATTATTAGTAAGATTAGTAAGATTTTGCTAACTACAGCTAAGAAACTACTTTGCTCTATTAGAGGATAGAAATTGACAGAGAGGCTTATCATTGTGTTTTCTATTTTAAAGCAAAGTTCATTATCTCCCATCTTGATTTATCTGCTCCCATTTTGGTTTATGTGCTGCATCTTGATTTATAGATAATTTTAATGTTATGAATAGACTTGTTTACTAAGCCTGAGCTGCTCTAATGTGTCAACTATATTCTTATTTGATTCACATGTTCTATAAGGAAACTTACTGCTGAATTTGTATACTACAGTCTTCAGATACTCATTTCATAGAGTAGTGGTTCTCTATGTGTCTGGACGTAGTACTTTCTTAAATTCGTGTTGGTTGATTTTTGTTCTTAATGTTTTGATCTTTCTCGAACTCATCCTGCTGCTTTAAGGATTTTAAAATCTCTTAAAGCCTAGGTTTATTATCTTGAGATTCAAGATAAAATGTGTAACTCTTACAGTGCTTTCATCCTAATGTAATTCAATGTTTTTTTATCATGAGTGTGCACATAGAATTTTATAGAATTGAAAGGGGTTTTTCCAAATACTAATTAGGTTATTTCAGAATATCTGCTATGTTTGCCATTCATTTTTTTTTTCTTAAATAGAGATGGTCTGGAATTTGTCCAGACAACTCATTAAAATTCTAATTTTCCAATGAGCTATCTTCCCCAGTCTGAATCTTTTATCTCAATAGAAAGAAATGTAGGCTGGGCATTTTCTCTGGGCATTTAGCAGATTTCAGAGACTCTTATGACCTTTTATGGTATTTGCCTCTGTTTGTCTACCATTTTCAAATGGAAAGAGCCACTAGACCATATATGATATATGTAGTTGGTCTCTTCAGTGGCAAGGTGGCAATAACATTTTATAATTATTTATTTTTTAATGTTAAGGAATTTCAGAAGAAAGATACCATTTACATCAGTGTTTTCTAATTTGGACCATGGTCTCTTGTAAGAAATACATTTTATATCACTACCCAAAACATAGTAAATAATTATGTAAAAGCCTAAAACAACATGAAACAACTTGCCTTTTAATGTCAGAGTAGGATGCACTTTGATATTTTCTATCCTGACCTATTTAATTTTTAGAAGCACTGTTTGTGACCCACCAAACTGATTTTTCAACTTAACAATGTGTGGTGACTTGTATCCTGAAAAACACTTTTAAATAAGTATATGTTTATCCATAGACCAGAATCTGTTTCTAACATAAATACCTCACATAACTTAAAACTATCATGATGATCTTGCAATGTTGATGCTCTTTTGTCCTTAGTATTACTTTAAAATTACAAAAATCTGTAGTGATTATAAGTAATTCTGAAATTAAATTGAAATCACAAAGGTATATATAATGTTTTAAAAATACATCTTTAGCTTTTTAGAATAATCTAGATTTTGATTTTGAAGGAACAGTTGCCATTAAAATTTTTAGTAGTTTTTTTTTAATTATTGAAGAAAAGAGTATTTGTGTTTCCCTTGTGAAATTAGTCTATAGCAGTTACATCTTGTCTTCAGATTATTGTAATATAGTGGTTTTCTTTTAATTATAGATGTGAAATGTAATGTTATTATTTTATTACTACTTTACATTTATGTAACATAAATGATCAAATTGATCAAAACAATACACATATACACATATGTGCGAGTATACATATATAATTTCATCCTCATAAGTCTATGATGTATAGGCAAGGTAGGTTGTAGAGAATAATTGAACAGATTTAGGATCCAGAAATATTCTATCATATAATGTTGTTTCCACTGCTTCTCTTGAAATAATACTTTTTTAGTTTGCCAAGTAGTTTCTCAGGCATTTTGAGCTTACCAAGTATTTTAAAACCTTTAACGTAAAGAATGTTAATGGAAGCTTTATGAAGTTGGTGTAACTATGGTACATCTTTGGCTAAACCACATTTATTTTACCACCATTCAGATGAAGTAGGAAAGATGGCCTTCTTATTTGAATTTCTAAATAATTAAACACCGGTGATTACATCTTGTGGGAGAAGGAGTGCAGATGACTGGTTTGAGTTAGGATTACTCAAAGAGTAGAAGGAAGGATAAAGTGGTAACAGGTGGCTAACAGGGAAGGGAAAATAAATCCTGCTATTATGGTATTTAGTAATATTTTGTTTTTCTTATCTGCCTTTTCTGAACTGTTGAATTAAGATCCTGGACATAATAATAGCTTACAATGAAATGTTTTCTATGTATCCAGCAACAATCTGAGAACTTTGTTTTAAGAAAAAAACATTTACATGTATATGTACTGTGAAATGTTTCATGCAGTCTGAAGAGTACATAAAATGCATTTACAGTTAATATAATAATAAAACCAATACTTACGTACCCAGCATACCAGGTTTAGAAGAAATCATTGCTAGTACTTTAGAAGTTCTTATATGTATCTCCTGATCCTTATCTCTTCCCCTTTACATGCCTTCTACGTGCTCCAGGTAACCAGAATCCTCACTTTTTTGTGCCTTTTCTTTTTTTCTGGTAATGTTACCATCATGTATGCATATCTAGACAATTTATGGTTATTTCTTTAAACACTGTTGAGAGTGTGTTTGAAGAAAAACTTCAGACAAATTAAATTTAACAGAGTGTATTTGAGTGAGAACGATTCATGGATTGGGCAACACTCAAAACCAGAAGAGGTCCAGAGAGCACCACTCTGAAACATAAGCAGTGAATATTTATAGACAGAACTCAGAAATACAGAAGTAGCATGATTGGCTACAGCTGGGCTTCTGCCTTATTTGAACATGATCTGATTAGTTTGTTGCCTGTGATTGTCTGAAGCTCAGCTGCTGTGATTGGCTGAGATCAGCCTATTTGTTACAAATATTAGACTCCTAAGTTAGATTTCTGTTCATTTACATACCAAAGTTAGCTTGCAGTTCATTATTAGGAACTAAAAATACAGAGACAGCCTCAGGCCATTGGCCTCCTGCTTATTTAACAGTAGCAAGCCCAAACCTAGTTGGGTAAGGAAAGGGCAACATTGCTGGAAGATAAACTGAGCAAGAGTCTCTGAGCCAGAGTTTGGTTATGATTTCTTTGAGAGTTTAACAACTGAAGAAAGCATTCGGCAAGATAATTAGTGGGTCTTGGGAAACACAAGATTCATTATTGCTTGTGGTTTAATTACTGGATACCTGGCAGGAATATGACCAGGAGAGGTATATTCTGCTTTTTTAGTTCACCATGTTCAACCAGGATTAGGTAAAAAGTAGAATGCTTCATTGTTTTGGAAGTATTCTCAGCTGATCCAAACATCAGCTTGAAGGAACAGAGAAGAAGTTTTATCAGCATACAGTCAGACAGACAAGCCAGTGTCAACAAAGAACTTGGGCAAAGCTCACCCAAGCAGTTTGCCCATGTGTCAAAAAAGATGGTGCAGTGGCAGGGGGACTTTTTGGTAATGACACCTCTTTTATATTGGATGTCCTGTTTCTGTACCCCATGCATTCTTGATTTATCACATTTTGGTACAGTTTTATCTTCCAGTACAGCCTTTCTTAACTGGAGTCTCATGACAGAAGTAAGTCCTATAGGAATATTTTCTCTGTTTCTCAAAGATATAGTGCATTGTTGGAAATATTATAGATGCATGGGAGATAAATTTAATTCATCTTGAACAGTGGATGCCTTAGTACATTAGGCTTAATTCTATTGCAGAACCCCAGCTGAGAAGGGCTACTGTAGTAAATTATTTTAAATGGTACATAGAAAATAAAATTTTGAGACCTTGCATGTCTAAAGATATCTTTATTTTACTCTAATATGTAATTGATAGTTTGGCTGGGTATGGAATTCTAAATTGAAACTTGTTTTCTTTCATATTTTGAAGATTTTGGTTATTTTTTGGCCTGCTTCCAGTATTGTTGTTGACGTAAATAGCCTATCTGATTCATGATCCAGAGGAACTTGGTGCTGTGAATTATGTGCAAAAGGGTTATTTGGTGTAAATAAGGTTGACTTTCAGTTTTTATTACTGCTGTTGTGATTTGGCTTTCTTGGATCTGCAAGACCATGACTACTTGTTCATCTCGAGCTTTGCAGTGTCAAATTTATGTTGTTAATATATCCTCTCCTGGATATGTACTTTTGGGATATATATAGATATTTGTTTATTTTTTTAAAATACCCCTTTTCTTGATTTTACTTGAGTTTTAGGAGGGAACGCATTTGTTCAGTATCTTCATTTTGCCATTTTAACCTAGACTCTTTTAAGACTTTGTGTATCATCTGATTTAATCCTCATAACAATCCTATAATATCAGTACTACTATTAGCATTGTATACGTGAGAAAACAAAGACTCAGAGAAATTAAACTGTTTAAGTATTTCTAGGAAAGATAAAACAGAGATTTGAATGCAGTTTAATTTCAAATCCTGCTTAACTATTATACTAGCATAATGCTGTTTGTGATGTTCTTTATGCCTTTAAAGGCAAGCACCATTACATGAATTATAATTATTTGTTGTCTACAGTTAATAATAATGTACATTTTATGATATGGAGAAAAGCAAAAAATAATAATAACCAAACCAACCCCTAAAACCCACAAACTTGTTGCAGTTATGGGTATTAGTGGTAAACTTATTCTCCATTAATTGATTTTGAAATGCCTTTGCCCAAGAAAGAATATGTCACATACAAGAAATTGAGTTTTGCCTGGTGCGGTGGCTCACACCTACAATCCTAGCACTTTGGGATACCAAGGTGGGTGGATCACCTGAGGTCAGGAGTTTGAGACCAGTCTGCCCAACATGGCGAAACCCCATCTCTACTAAAAATACAAAAATTAGCCAGGCATGGTGGCAGGTGCCTGTAGTTCCAGCTACTTGGGAGGCTGAGGCAGGAGAATCACTTGAACCCGAGAGGTAGAGGTGGCAGCGAGCTGAGATTTTGCCACTGCACTCTAGCCTGGGCGACAGTGAGACTCCATCTCAAAAAAAACCCAAAAAACAAAAAAGAAATTGAGTTTTGCTTTTTCATGTGTTCTTTCTAGTAAGGACAAAGTCTTAGATTATATGAGATGTTGTGCATGAATAGAGAACCAGCGTTGAAGTGAATGCATAATAAGGAAGGATACTGAGATCTTATGGTAAGATACCTATAAAAATGAGCCACTAATAAATTTTAACCTAGATGGTTATTGTCCAGCTGAGTGGGTGTATTTTCAGATTGAAAGAAAGAATTATAACCAAAAAAATCAATCTACGGCATATATAGAGAGCATCTGACTAGAGCTTTTAAATCTGAATTAAGGTAGGGTAAGGTATATGGATTTTAGTATAATTGGGAGAGAATTCTTTGGAATTTTAAAGATTAGGTATAAACAGATGGTACCTGTTAGATTTAATGACGTGGAGTCAATACTGGTCACTTAGTTTTAAACATAGTACATTTGTCACTGTGATAATAAAGTTGCTTTTAAAAAAAATTTTTTTTAAGCAGGAAAGACTCATTGATAGACTGAACAGTTTAGATGTAATGAAACTGTTCAAATTAAATTTTGAACAGTTTAAATGTAATTAAGAGGAACAGTAGCAGCTCATATTTTCTTCAAGGAACATGTTAGAGCATACAGCATTATGGTGTCGTTTTAATCTCCTCTGTTGATTGGTTTGCGCTAACACTGTCTTAATGACTCATATATCCCTGCTGGAGGCAAAACTTAAATGTTTATTCTCTGCTTTAACTGTTGGAATCCATCAACGTTGTGCTTGAAAGAGTATCTTTCCTTATGAATGTTTAATCATGGCTGAGGCAAGCTGTAGATTAGATATAAATCTAGAAGCTTCAGGGAAGATAAAAAGCATTATGTTTATATCCATCTTTGAAGTAAGTAAAAGCTGGGAAGGAAGGAGTCGGAAGAGGTGGGAAGTGTGGCCGGATAGTACAGAAACATAATGGATATGATAAAAGGATTGCATTTCTGAGAAGAGAAAATGACTTTATTGCTTCATCTTGAATTGCTAAGTATTGATCTTGTTTTGTTTTCCTAAAGCAGCAATTCAGTGCAGGGTGGTTTGATAAAAAGGTAAAACATTAGTAGAATAGCCTTTCATGTTTATCAGTTCCTTTTTTTAAAAAATCAGCAGCATGGTTTAATGCTTTTTCTGTCAGGCTTTCTCTATCTGTTTATTGCTGATTTGACAGTCTTTGGTCCTTCTCCTTTGCTGTTAAATGTGTGTGTTCTTTGTTTGTGCTGGTGGGTTTTGCTACAGTTGGATGTGAGAGAAAAGCCTGTCTTTGCCATATTGGTCTAATTAGCCTTTGGGTGAGCATATACATTAAATAGACCTTCTGAGCTATGAAAGAAGAGAGCTCACAACGTAGATTTTCTTCCTGTACTGGGGTTTTGCCTGTTTTATTTCCTCCCCGGATTGATGGCCGAAAGCTTGTTCGGAATGCTTCATTTGGAGGATACAATGAACTTTCTCCTTCATTGCCAGGTTTGTGTGTTTAATCTTGCATTCCTAATTTCTTGCAGACTTTTAATTAAAATAAACCAGGCATTTTAACATTTTAAAGCCGCTTTCATTTAAATAAAACAATTCTGTAGTGAAAGCTTAGGTTTCAGTAACTGCTGCTAAACAGCTTGGCTTTTCCATATTTTCTCTTAGAGCCTCTTCAGTTAAAACTTCAGAAGTAATGATTCAGTAAAGTAGGAATCTTGAGTGCTTACGGCATAAATTTTTGCTTTAATTATAGAAATATTATGACCCTTTGATAAAATTAAAGCCCTTCTAGACTTGAGATAAACACAAAATTATATAAATAAACACATTGCTCTGAGGGTTTACCAAATGAAACCCAGATATTAATATTGATATTTGTTCATTTTTTGCAGAATGGTAACTATATTAAAGTTGATGTTTAATGTAAGCTTTAATCTTACCACTTTATTATCTTAATCTTTTTATCTTAAATTCTTAAATTTATCTTAAATTCTGACTAAAGTGAAGCTTTCTACTCAAGTATAGTTTTTGAAATACCTTAGCTTCCTCTTGTTGTTAGATGTATTTGTGTGTGATTAATTTTTATCATGAAAATTTATGATATTTTTAGGGTTATATTTATTAGGCATTTGACAGCTATGATTTAGGCATTAAACAATTGGTCAATGAGATGTAGACATAAATTGATCTTTTATTGTTTGAAATTGTAGCAAATATTTGAATATGTTTAAATAATCTTTTCCTTTCAGATTTTTAAACACTATATAATTATGTCTACTCTTTTAGGGTTATATTTTCTTTTAAAATAAAAGTACTATTTAATAATGATGGCAAAGAAATATTGACTGAAACTGATACTTGTATTTATATATTTTTTCTGACACTTAGATTTTGTTGAATTAAATTCCCTATTTTCACAATAACCTTTATTCTTGGCTTTCTGAATATTCATGTTGATAAGTGGTATATGTGTTCTTCTGAGATAGTGAAACGCCTCATAGAAAGTGTTCACCTGGGCAATTAAATAAATTATAAATTGACTGATTTCATTCTTTTCTAACAGTGTTTCACAAAAGAATTGGAAACCATAGTCCTGAACTCTCCCTAAGTAGTATAAGCTTTAAATAGCACTCAATCCATATTAAGTCTTCTTAGTGTAGCATGGTTGCTCTCATGCGTCTTTCTTATGTTTTAAATGGTGTAAATTTTAGTCGTTTGTCATTCAGAAGTGGCTTTGCAAATACAAAATACTGAGATTTTTTTAATGTTAGATATTTTTTATTTTAAAATGAGTTTCATTTCTGTATTTGTTTCTGTCTCTTTGTTTGCATTTTTTAGGCCAACAAGCTTGCTAGTATATATTGTTTGCTGACCTTCATGCCACAAGTCCACTTAGCTTTACAGAATAATCATGTGACCTTGATGAACAATAGAAAACTTAGCTTTTAAGTTTGGTACTTATTTAATTAGGCAGTTAAAGGCAAAATTGTCAGTTTATCTTGTCAAAGAAATATTAAAAGCCATCTTGGATGGATTTGTTTCTATAGAAAAGTAAATGGTTTGCTTTGTTTTCTAATTCTTGAAATAGAGAAAATCATATTCATAGGAATGATTCCATCATCTCCTTAATACAACCAGCTGTGATAAAAAGCTCTATAAAATATCTGCTTTTATCAACTAAGAAGTAGAATGGAATTAAGTACTTCAAAGAAGTGGCTTTTTGTTGTGACTTAAGGTAAAAGTAAAAAGTACATCTAATATCTCCTGATATACTTCATTGTTGTATTGAAAAAATTATTTTAGATGCATTTGCTTTTATCTGACAAAACTAGAGAAGGAAAGATTTGTTCTTCATTAGTGATATTTAAAGATAACTTTTTCTTACTGCTTTGAGCATAACCCTTTTTTAATTTTAATTTTCCTGAAAAAAATATTTTTTTCTTTTAGCCACTTCTGCCTTAATAAATACGTCAGCATAACCTTTTTCTTTATGATTAGCTATAACATGGATGTGACACCCCTGCCCCTGTACCCATAGTGATGTCATGATGCAATGTGTTTGTTTTATTTAGTTCATATCTGATTATCTATCTCTTGATCTCAGCTGTTACTTTTAGGTATGCTTGTTTTACTAATCTCTAGAACAGTACGTACAAATTGGAGTAAATAAACTTTGAACAAAGAAAGCATCTATAGACATCTATAGATTGTACATTTTAGTACATAGTTGTTTTGTATATTTTGACTTCTCAGATTTTTTTCTTGGCTCTTGGCTGTATTCAATATAGTTAATGTAGCAATTCTGTATTTATTTTGTAGATACTTATAAAATCTTTATTTGTAGATTTGTTTATGTAATTTCATTTTAATAAGACTGACGCAACATAAAATTTGCTTTATTATATCACAGTATTAATGAACCAGGTATATCAAAAAGATAACGCCTTATCAGTGATGATAGTACTTGCATTTTGTGGACAAATTAGAGGTTAAGGGCAGAATGCTAATTTATTCAGCGATAATATTCCATTGCATTAGCAGGAAAAAGTAAACCTATGTACTTACACTAGAGATTGTCTAATGTAAAATTTACTGTAGATGGGAAACTGAAGTCTCTGGAATTTAAGGAACTTACCATGGTTATATAATTACTTGATGGAAGAGTTATTATATTCACTGGAATTATTATGAGTCTGTGACTACTTCCAAAACCAAAAGATTAGAAGAAAGATATGACAGACTTTTTTCAACCAGGTTTGAATGTCATTAGTTTTTGTTTTGGGGTTGAGCTTTAGGAAATTCTTTTTTATTTGCTTTGATGGCTAAAAACATTTCTGAAACTCATTACTATGTTTTTTTCTTTTTATATGAAGAGAATATTATAGCACTGTCTTGCTTCAGTCTTAAGTACTTTATCACTTTCAAGCCTTTCCCCATTGGAGAAACTGAACCATTGGAAGTTAAGTATTGTGCCCAATGTCATACAGCTAGTAAATGGTGGCGCCAGGGTTGATAGATAGTCTGACCCCATAGCTTATTCGCAGGTATCCCTCTGCCTTTATTATAAGCAGTTATTTTACTGTATTATAATTTTTGTTTGAATACCTGGCTTCTCTTTAGACAGTAGCCTTTTTAAAAGAAAGGAATGATAGGGAACAATGTCTTTTCATGTTTTTATCCCTAAATGCAATGTGTTATGTAACAGGTAGGTACACTATAAATATTTATACTATATATATGCACTTTGTTTTTGTTCTTGTTTTTGTTTTGAGATGGAGTCTCGCTCTGTCTCCCAGGCTGGAGTGCAGTGGTGTGATCTCGGCGCACTGCAGCCTCTGCCTCCTAGGTTCAAGGGATTCACCTGCTTCCACCTCCCAACTAGCTGAGACTACAGGCATGTATCACCACGCCCAGCTAATTTTTGTATTTTTAGTAGAGACAGGGTTTCACCATGTTAGCCAGGTTGGTCTCAAATTCCTGGCCTCAAGTGATCTGCCTGCCTCAGCCTCCCAAAGTTCTGGGATTATAGGCATGAGCCATCATGCCCAGCCTAATATTTATATTTATAAGAGGTGAATCCATTATTATTTCTTAATTGATTGAAAGGATTGCCATCTGTCAATCTAAATAGTAATCATTCTGAATATCTGCTTTTTTGTTTGTTTTTGTTTTGAGATGGAGTCTCACTCTGTCGCCCAGGCTGGAGCACAGAGGCACCATCTTGGCTCACAGCAACCTCCGCCTCCTGGGGTTCAAGTGATCCTCTCACCTCAGCCTCCCAAGTAGCTGGGATTACAGGCATGTGCTACCACACCCGGCTAATTTTTGTATTTTTAGTAGAGATGGGGGTTTCACCATGTTGGCCAGGCTGGTCTCGAACTCCTGACTTCAAGTGATCTGCCCACTTCAGCCTCCCGAAGCGCTGAGATTACAGGCATGAGCCACCTCATCTGACCTGAATATGTGCTGTTGTTATAGGTTCTATAACCTTAGAAAATGTGGAAGTCAGCCTGGATGTATGTTGCAGAGTGAAAATGGAGCAAGACTACCTGGTTTCTAATCCTCACTTAGCTACTTAATGACCATTTGGAAGGAATTTGGCTTCAATAAAGTACCCCAGAGATACTCTTATTACTTTATGTAAGTTAAACAAGAGACAGAATACTTTGGAGAAAGGCTGTTAAGAAAGTAGTGAAAATCGGCCTGGCACAGTGGCTCACACCTGTAATCCCAGCACATTGGGAAGCCGAGGTGGGCAGATCACCTGAAGTCGAGAGTTCAAGACCAGCCTGACCAACATGGAGAAACCCCATCTCTACTAAAAATACAAAATGAGCTGGACGTGGTGGTGTGTGCCTATAATCCCAGCTACTCGGGAGGCTAATTGCTTGAACCCGGGAGGCGGAGGTTGTGGTGAGCTGAGATTGTGCCATTGCACAGCAGCCTGGGCAATAAGAATGAAACTCCATCTCAAAAAAAAAAAAAAAAAAAAAAGGTAGTGAAAATCATATAATTTTCTGGAGAGAGGGTTTTCATTCCAGGTCTCTAATTATTATTACAAATAATTTTTTCAAAGTCAGCAATTAGTACACAAGTCAGAGATGGCCAGATACATAAGAAAATATGACATGAATGAGAAGTAACTGAAACAACAAACAGTAGAAAGAGGCTGGTAAGGCTTCTTGGATATTAGAGTGATCCGATACAAACTAATGTTTTTAAAGCTCTGTTTACGGTTTTTAAAAACATAAATGCAAACTTTCAAAATGGAATTATTTAAAATAGCCTGTAGATTTGTGAAATATTAGGATATAAATTTTAGAAATGAAATTAAACATAACCAAAATTTAAAACTCGGTGTACATACTAGTAGTACATTGGACATACAGATGAAGATAGAATTAGTGAAGAGGAAAGTAAGTCAGAAGAATTATTCAGGATACAGCAGGGAGGGAAAAGATGAAAAATAAAGAAGTTGAGGCATGCAGAATAAAAGGGAAAAAGCTGTCTTTTTTTGGTCATAAATAAAAGAAATAGACAAAATAGGATAAAAAGTCTTTAAGTATAATGGCTATAATTGAACTGATCAAAGATACTAACCACAAATTCTCAAGAAAACAAATTAAAAAGAAACTTAAACCTAAACACATCATAGTGAAACTACAGACCATCAAAGACAGAGGGTGAAAACACCCAGATTTCCTTCACAAGAATAACAACAGTTAAACTCACACCTGTTTGACTTCTTCACTGAAACAGTAGAAGCTACAGGTGTACTTCAGGCAAAAGGAGAGTGATTTCAGATGGAAAGTCTTAAGTTGTAAGGATAAACAAATAGCAAGGGCTATATGGGCAAATTTAATGCACACTGATTCTAAAGCCAATACAAATAATGTCTTTTGGAGTTAAGAAGAGAGAGAGATTTGCAATATATGACAGTTATTGTGTATAAGCTGGAAGGGAGGTAAATAAGTTCTTCCAAGGCCTTTGTATTTCCCAGAAGGAGAGTAAATTAATAATTAATTTTAAACTTTGAAAAGTTAAGTATACATATTTTAATTTCTGAGTGTAACCACTAAACACAATGATTAATTTATGTTTTTAAATCTTAACTAGTTTATAATAAATAGAAGACAAGATAGTAGAGGACAATAGAGTATGGGAGGAACAAATAGAAAGTCCAAAATAAGATAAATATAAATCTAGGTAAGTCAGCAATTATATTGAGTACTAATGATCTAAAGATTAGTATTAAAAATAATCCAGTACCTGCTGTTACAAGTGACATATCTACATATAAAAGAATAAAGAAAAGTTGGGGTAGGGAAGGACTAGGGATAAAAAGCAATGCAAACACTACTGAAAAGAAAGTTCCTGTATCTATTGATACCAGACAGAATAAATTTTGAGGCAAAAAGCATGAGTACATTATATGCCCTCAAAATATATAAGGAAATTTTATAGAGAACAACATGGAAACTAGATAAATCTGTACTTATATTCTTCTCTTTGTAATTGAGGGAGAAAAGGACAAAAATCAGTAAATACATATCAAAATAGAACTTCTCTACTAAGAAATGTGTGTTAATGGACAAATATAGAACTTTATACCCAACAACTATAGAATATACCTTCTTATCTAATACATATGGTATATTTATAAAAATTGCTCATATGCTGTGCCATAAAGTAAGTTTCAACAAATTTTAAATTATTAAAATTATTCAGAACATATTATCTGACCTTATTTTTTATGTTAGAAATCTATAACAAAAAGTTCAATAAAAATTCTGTTATGTTTAAAATTCAAAAATATATTTCTAAATGCCTCATGGATCAAAGAAGAAATCAAAATAGGAATTGGAAAAATAACTGACTTGAACAATTATGAAAGCATTACATATCGAAATTTGTGGAATATAGCTTTAAAATCGTGATTAAGAGGAAATGTTTAGCCTTAAGTGCATATTTTAGAAACAGAAGGGAGAAGAAAAATTAATGAGCTAAGTATCTTTCTTAAGTTCAAAAAATAAGAGCAAAATCTCCAAAAAGAAAAAAAGACTATAATAAATGTAAGACTAAGAATTAATGGAACAGAAAATACACACACTAGAGAGTTTCAGTAAAGCCTAAAATTCTTGGAAAAAGACTGATAGACAAACCTGTGGTATGATTTATTATGAAAAAGAGTGTTACTGCAAATCAGTAGACAAAAGGTGTTTTTTTAAAACCTTAACTCTGATACAATTAGCCAGTATCAAAAATAAAGAGATATAACTATAGTTGGAGCCATGTATTAAACATGTAAGAGAATATTGTGAACTTTTGTATGCTGATGTACTCAAAAGTTCAAATGAAATAAATTCTTAGTAAATATAGTTTACTGAAATTGTTCTTAAAAGAAACGGAATATCTGAATAGTCCTAATAACCATTAAGAAATTAAATCAGAGGCTGGGCATGGGCATGGTGGCTCATGCCAGTAATCTCAGGACTTTAGGAGGCCAAGGCGGGTGGATCACTTGAGGTCAGGAGTTCGAGACCGGCCTGGCCAACATGGTGAAACCCCGTCTTTACTAAAAATACAAAAATTAGCTGGGCCTGGTGGCATGCACCTGTAATCCCAGCTACTCAGGAGGCTGAGGCAGGAGAATCGCTTGAACCCGGGAGGCAGAGGTTGCAGTGAGCCGAGATCGTGCCACTGCACTCCAGCAGCCTGGGTGACAGAGCGAGACTCCATCTCAAAAAAAAAAAAGGAAAGAAAAAAAAAAGAAAAACAGAAATTAAACTAGAAAGCTCCGGATTCAGGTAGATACCGAGTTCTACCAACCGTTAAATGAAAGAATAATTCTAGTCTTGCACAACTGCTTTCAGAGGATGGAAGTGGAGAGTGAGAAGAACACTAGTATTAGTATAACTTTGACATGAAATTCAACTGAAAGAGATTGTCCTATAATTTTTCCAATCAGTAATGAATATGGATTACAACACTCCTTAATGGTAGTAGCAATATCTTTTTATAAAGAGGACAATGCGTTATGACTAAGTTGGATGAAAATCTAAGAAAGCAGGATTGACTTAACATTAGAAATAAATGTGGTTCACTACACTAACAGATTAAAAGCAGAAAAAATAATATGATTATCTTAATAGATGTGGGAAAAGTTTTGATGAAATCCAAATTTCGTTTTGTTAACTCTTAGAAAACTAGAAGGAGTGAACTTCCTTAAATATCTGTATCAGTACCTGTTCCAGCTGGACATGGTGGCTTATACCTGTAATTCCAGCACTTTGGGAGGTTGAGGTGGGAGGATTGCTTGAGCCCAGGATTTGAAGACCAGCCTGGGCAACATGATGAGACCTCATCTCAACAACAACAACAACAAAAAAGTCAGGCCTAGTGACATGTGTCTCTTGTCTCAGCTACTCAGGAGGCTGTGGTTGAAGGATTGCCTGTTACAGGAGGTCGAGGCTGCAGTGAGCTGAGATCACACCACTGCACTCCAGCCTAGGCAACAGAGCAAGACCCTGTCTCAAAAAAAAAAAAAAAAAAAACCAGAAAAATAAACCCTGTTCCTTAAATATATATATTAATATATGTACCAATATCAATATCTATATCCAAATATATATATAAATACACATATAAAAATATATCAAAAATCTACATTAAACATTGTACTTAATGGTTAAATATTGACAGTTTTGAGATTAGAAACAAGAATGCATTCACCATTTCTAGGCAATACTGTACTTTAAGTGCTAGATGAATAGAACAGATAGGGTGTGCAGAAACAGACCTACACATTTGTGAACATTTGACACATATGGATAAAAGAAGTTCTTTTCGATAAATGGTGGCAGGTCAGTTGGTGTCTAAATGCAAAGAAAGTGAAATTGTACCCGTATATCACACTGTACTCAAATGTCAATTCCAGGTGGATTGTAGATGTAGATGCAAAAAGTAAAACTACATTATTGGAAAATATTTTTATGACTGCAGATTTAGGGAAGAGTTTAAGACCCCAAAGCATTAACCTTTAAAGAAAGAGATTGCTAAATTTGACTACATGAAAATTAAAAGCTCTTCACCAAAAGAAACCACATAGCCTGTAAAAAGCCACAGAATAAGGAGATGTTGACAACAAATACATTTGGCAAAGGACTAGTATCTAGACTATATCAAGAATTCTTATATAATAAGAAAAGATAGACGATTTTTTTTTTAATGTACAAAAGGTCTGAAGACATTCTTCACAAAGAGGAAATTAGCCAATTAACATGAGAAAGTTCTCAACACCATTAGTAATCAGGGACACGCAAACTAAAACTTCACTGACAAACTACTGTGCATCCACCAGACTGCCAAAAATATTAAGAGTTTTTCAATACTGAAGTTACTACGGTTATGGAGAAAAGAGAACTTTTGCATAGTTTGGTATAAAGTTTAAGTTACACATGCTCTGTGACCCAGGATTCCTCCTTCTAGATTTAAACCTTAGAGAAACTTAGAGGTGTCTACCACGATACATTTCCAAGAATATTCATAGCACTATTGTTCAACAGGGGAAAATTAGGAACAATCCAAGTGTCTGATAATGGTGGAATGGATAAATAGTGGTATAGTCATGCAGTAGGGTTCTAATCAGCAGTGAAAACGAATGAAGTACCTGCTGTGACACGCTAGTAAATAATTATTGCACAAGTCGAATTACTTGTGAAGACAAAGGGTGGATTGTGATTAAGAATTGCACTGAGGAGGAATCTTATGAAATGTTAGCAATTCTCTATTTCTTGATTTGGGAGGTTGTTAAGTAAGTATTCTCTGTTATACATTTATGTTTTAGGCATTTTTCTGAAGATGTGCTGTATTTCACATTTTCTAAAACCTTTGGAAGTAAAAATGGAGTTCTTTCTATTAAATTTTTGATTAATTTATGAAATTTTTAAGTTTCAGAGAATATACAAAGATTAGACCCTTTTCAGGAACTCACGGTCAACATGAGCATAAAGATAATTGGAGTATACTGCAGTAAATACTGTAGTACAAGTATGTGTGAAGTGCTGTTTGTGTCATAGAAAGGAACAGCTAACTATGCCTGCAAAGTCAAAACAAGGCCTCCCTGAAGGGGTGGCCTTGCGTCTTGAGAGGCTCCATGGCATTGTAGAAACAGCATGAGTTTTAAATGTAGACCTAAGTTTAAATCAGCTCTGATAGTCACTTGTTGATGTTGGTCAACATAATTTCTGTGAGCTTTAGTTTTTTCAACTGTAAAATATGGTTAATTTTTTTGTGTGTGTGGCATTGTTTTAAAGATTAGAAAAAAATGAAACCTATAGCATAGTGTGTCACACTCGGGTTCTCACAAATAGGTATTGGTTGCTTTATTATTGCTTTTATTAATATTATTGTGTTAATTAGTATAAATATCATTATTGCTGATAAATGAATCAGAATTAGCCAGATACAGAACAAGTTAAAGGGATATAGACTAGGTGGCATAGGATGTCAAAGCAAGAGAAACGCAATAAAATGGAAGAGTAGGGAAAGGGTGTGTTTTAAAATTATTTTTATTGAGGTATAATTTACATGTAATTAAGTGTGCAGCTTTTGAATTTTTAGTTACGTATAGACACGTGTAATCACTTCCCATAGCAGAAGGCTCTCTCACACCCCTCCGAGTCAGTATTTCCTCCAAAAGGTAAACTACTGTTCCAACCTCTAACGCCATAGATTGTTTGTAAATAGAATCATATGGTACGTACTTTTTTTTAATGGGGAGAGTTGGCTTCTCACTCAATATTTGTTGTTCTTTTTTGTTGCTGTCTAATTTTCCACAGTGTGACCATACTATAATGAATTCATTAATTTTACTCTTAATAGCCATTTGAAGTGGTTCCAGATTTTGGCTATTATGAATAAAGCTTCTATGAACATTCTTGTGCCTCTCTTTTGATGGATGTACACACTCATTTCTGTTGGGTATATCTAGGATTAGAATTCCTCCGTGTAGAATGTACATTTAACTTTAATAGATACAGTCAAGTAGTTTTTCAAAGTTGTTATGCCACTCTATGTTCTCACCAGTAGTGAACAGAGTTTCAGTTGCTCTATGTTTTCACCTGTACCTGGATGGTGTTAGTCCTTTTAATTTTAGCCATTCTAATAGGGATGTAGGTTTCTGTCTCATTATAGGAGTGGGGAGGATACTTGGAAGAGACCACTACCCCAAATCACTAACTAGTTTCATTTAAAATTCCATGTTGCATTTATGAAAGTTTCATTTTTTTTACATTTTATTTTTAGTATTGAGATTGAGTGATCTTTTTTCTTACCAGAGAAGGAAAAAAGATCCCTTTTTTTATATCATATAAAATTTTCAGTAAAATATCTGATTAAGAAAATGGAACAGTTTTTTTTAGCTGTTACATTAATAAACCAAATGCAGAATCAATGGTATTATCCTTGATGTGCTAGAAGTGTTTTTAAAATACTTTAGGCACTGGTACTACTTGACTTTTTTAAAAATGCTGCTTTATGAATGATTATACATATTTTAAAATATAGGCTTTTATTGGACTCTGAACAAATAATTATAGGGAAGAGTTAATAGTACCTGTCCTCAAAAATAGAAAAACCTCATTAAAATTAAAATGTGTACTGCTCCTTTTATACCTGCCACACAAGTCTCAATATAATTGTACCTTTGTAATAGTAATTTGTTAATTGGTTTATGCATAGTGCTATATTAAAGTGTTATATGATTGCAGGAGTATATGCATGTTTGTCTCACTGCACTCTTGTATTTAAGATTCATCCTTTTAGAATAAGAATAGAAAATGATAATAAAGGTGAACATTAATTGAATGTATGCTATGTGCAAAAACACTATGCTAAGTGCTTTGTATGTATCTTCATCTAATTCTCACCATATGCACATTATAAGATTTTTAAAAAGTCAATCCAGATTTATTTCCCCAGTCTTTCATCACCTCGTCTGAAATTGTTTTCCATTTTGACCAGAGGTATGAAAAGTATGTTGAGTTGGTTCCGTGAGTTAGAATTCGTTGCTGGAAACCAGCTCACTAGAATAAAAGCTCTATAAGCGCTGAATTTATGCAGAGTTCTGCAGGAGCAAAGAAGAGATATTTCACGATGTTGGTGGGTTCAGGGAAATACTTCATTTTTTCTAAGCCTTAGTTCTAAAGGATTATGCTAGATATGACCCTCTAGAGATCTTTAATAGTTTAAAGCTGTGTGTACAGGCTTCCTGCACTGATTTATATCAAATATAGTCTATACTTGAAAATGAATGACTTATTATACATGTTCAAAAGTAGTAATACTGATATGCTGACTATTTTTTTAAGGTTTTGAAAGAGGGAAGGAAGATATTTCTCAAAATAAAGATGAATCTTCACTTTCTATGTCAAAGAGCAAGGTAAGCATATATAAGCAAATACATGATTATGACATATTCTTAATATTTGAGATGAGGGAACTAACACTGAAATCCTATGAAGCTTTTTTGTGATGTTTTTATGTTGATACATCTGAACCATGTAGTGTGTATTAAAAGAGTGAAGTTCCATTGGGGCTAATATAAGTATTGTTGGCTACTTAGAAATACAGCTGATTGGTAACCAGTTTTCCTGCCAGAGTAATACTGTTTCTGGTATCTCTGCTATAGCAGCACTTCTCAAACTTGAGTCTGAGGATTGCATTCAGATATATTCTCAGGGTTTATGGCTTTAAAAAAAAAATCTTAAGTGTTTTGAGTTCATTCAGATGACAATCAAAATACATATATTTTACCAGTTAAAAGCCAGAGCTTTGCAGTAGTAATTGCCTACTATTGACAGACATTTTCTTAGAATAAGACATAGTTTATGAATCAGTATTTCTGAAACTGGGATACTTAGACACATTCTTAGGCCTGTTAAGCATTTTTTTTCTTGAAGAAAATTCAGATTTGAGAAACGCCATGTGATGCAGTAACCAGTTTCCCTATGGGTTTTTAGTTCACTAGATTTTCTATAATTTGTGAAGGAATTCAACTTTTGGCTGTTCTTTCTGGTAAGATATAGTAGCAGGGGAGCTTTTATGTTTATGGAATCAAACTTCAATGACTGTAAGATAACTGTTTCTAAAGACTGAATTCTCTGTTATTCTCAGCAGTTGGGCTTGCTCTTACAACCCACATTTTTTGCTCCTGTTCTTGAGAGTGGTTGAGAGGCTTGCACAGTATGTTTTTATGTATGATTTTACATAAATATTATTCCCACTTTTTATGTATACATTACACAAAAGTTCATCTATCATATTAGTGTAAAGTACTTAGGCTAGAAGTTTAAAAGTACTTTGTATTTATATAACATGTATGAGAAATGCCTGGATCACCAATGGGAGAAAATATTTCTTTCCCCATTGCAAGGTTCATGGCTGAGATCCCCATAACAAAAGAAAGATGAACAAGAGAAAAGCATACACATTTATTTAACATAAGTTCTGTGTGACACAGGAGCTTTCAGAAATGAAGACCCAAAAGAACAGGGAAATCTGTGTATTTATATGCTTTGGTTTGATGAAGAGCAGACAGTCACAGAAGTATGATTGGACAAAGGTTGAGGGGTATTATAAGATGCTAATACACTGAGGGGAATTTAGCAAGGCCTGTTTGTTCAGCTTCTTCTTGGTATCTCTGTGTGTTTGGATTCTTTCTTCTAAGGATAGGTAGAGCACCTGCTTCAGGGCAAGGTCAGAGAATTATATTGTGGCCTGCTTCAGAGCAGAAAGGCAGAAGGTCAGAGAGTGACCTTTCTGCTTTTCAAGTTTTCTCAGTTTCCTTCAGCTTAGAAGAGTCAGTATGCCCCTATATTTTCGGGTAGTGAGTTTTGAGCCCTGTCAATCATTTTACATGATCTGTATTATTAAAGAAAGTAGGAAATAATTTATCTTAGGTCTGCCACAGCTAGAAATACAATGAGATTTATAGTTTTTTTTTTAAAAAAAAGATCTATTTTCAAGCAATTAATACCAGAATTGGTGAATACATGGTATAATGGTATTCGTACTCAAAAGCCTAAACACCTAAACACAAAGACCTACATACCACAGCTACCTATTTGCCATCTATGTGTACCCTTTAAGGGGGAGGCCTGAAAAGGAACTTTGCATACCTTAAATGAAGCTGTGTGCCTTAATGGGGGGCGGGGAGGAACCCACAAGCTTTAGAACTATGCTTTGGGTACAGTAGCATCTAGTCATATGTGGATCCTTAAATTAATTAAATGTAAATAAAATTAGAAATCCAGCTCCTCAGTTATACTAGTCACACCTTAAATGCCCAGTAACCACATATGGCTAGTGGCTGCCACACTGGACAGCTCAGATATAGGACATCTGTCATTTAGAACGTTCTACTGGGCAGCACTGCTTTAAAGTGAAGAGTCAATTTGAATCTTGACTCTCCTATTACCTATAAGTTTTTAGCTGCTAGTTACAATGATATTAATAGCTACTTTTTTTTTTTTTTTTTTTTTTGAGAAGGAGTCTCGCTCTGTCACCCAGACTGGAGTACAGTGGTGCGATCTCGGCTCACTGCAAGCTCTGCCTCCTGGGTTCACGCCATTCTTCTGCCTCAGCCTCCCGAGTAGCTGGGACTACAGGCGCCCGCCACCACAGCTGGCTAATTTTTTTGTATTTTTAGTAGAGACAGGGTTTCACCGTGTTAGCCAGGATGGTCTCGATCTCCTGACCTTGTAATCTGCCCGCCTCGGCCTCCCAGAATGCTGGGATTACAGGCGTGAGTCACCGTGCCCGGCCATTAATAGCTACCTTTTTTTTTTTTTTTTTTTTTTTAAGAGATGAGGGCCTCACTATATTGCCCAAGCTGGATTCGAACTCCTGGGCTCAATCAGTCCTCTCACCTCAGCCTCCCAAGTAGCTGGGACTGCAGGCACATTGCCATCATGCCCAACTTAATAACTACTTTTTGTTGAGAGTTTACTTGGGCCATTTTAACGTTCATAACAATACTAGAAGACAGGTATTATTGGCCCCATTTTATGAATGAACAAACTGAGGCTCAGACAAATTAATTCCCCAAGACTCAAAATAGTAAGTCTTAAAACTAGAATTCACAGTGGCTTCAGTTTTCTTTTTTGTTCACGGGAGGTAAGATCTTACCTCCCAGACTGTGGTGCAGAAAGTACCTGACAAAGAAGCTGGTTAACAGTAGATAGTTAAGAATTTATTTTCTTATGAATAAAGCATTAGAGTGAATGAATGGGATTCTTAACATAACTATTTGGTATATAAGTAAAATTATACTCATCATATTATTTTCCAAGAGCTGAAACTTACTGATTTTCTCATAATTTAGATTTAATCTTAGTTTATTCTGTTAGCTTAAGATGTCTATAGTTGCTACATTGTCTTTAAATATTTTAACATTCTGCTGGGTGCAATGTTTCATGCCTATAATCCCAGCACTTGGGGAGGCTGAGATGGGAAGATTGCTTGAGCTCAGGAGTTTAAGACCAGCCTG
This sequence comes from Homo sapiens, assembly GCF_000001405.40. Lineage (NCBI taxonomy): Eukaryota > Metazoa > Chordata > Mammalia > Primates > Hominidae > Homo > Homo sapiens. The sequence continues at coordinate 76,407,455 of NC_000012.12, read as the reverse complement.
GACATGACAAGACCCTGTCTCTACAAAAAATACAAAAATTAGCCGGGTGTGGTGGCACATGCCTGTGATCCCAGCTACCTGGGGGGCTAAGGCAGGAGATGCTTGAGCCCAGGAGGTTGACGCTGAAAGTGAGCCATGTTTGCGCCACTGCACTCTGGCCTGAGAGACAAAGTGAGACCTTGTCTCAAATATATAAATTTGTGTATATATATGAGCATGCAACCAACTCTCTTGTTTTTCAGAACAGTTGTAAAATTTATACATTTATCATTAAACCTCATACTTGTGGAATTCTGAAGATTTTTATTCTTATCTGAGTAATTTTGGAAAACAAGATTTATTATTCCTTTCATGATTTAAGTTGTGTAACTGAGGACATCAAACAATTTTAACTTTTCCCAACTTGATGCAAAAAATATGAATACTCTCATTTTGGTCACAGGATTTTAGGTTAAATGTTATTTCTTAAAATTCATGATTGAGCCTGATTAACACAATGAATTACACCTGCCTCATCCCCAAGACATTATTTAAAAATAAAGGAGCTGGGCACAGTGGCTTATGCTTGTAATCCCAGCATTTTGGGAGGCTGAGGTGGAAGAATTGCATGAGCCCAGGAGTTCGAGACCAGCCTGGGCAACCTAGCGAGACCTTGACTCTACAAATCAAAAAATTAGCCACACGTGGTGGCATGTTCCTGTGGTCCCAGCTACTCAGGAAGCTAAGGTGGGAGGATCACTTGAGCCCAGGAGTTGGAGGCTGCAGTGAGCTGTGATCACACCACTGCACTCCAGACTGGGTGACAGAGTGAGACCCATCTCAAAAAATAAGGCAGTTCCTCTTTCTCATGCACCTTTTCCTAGGCTTTTTCATTGTATGAATGAGTGAATTGGAAAAGTCGGTTAATCAGATTATCCCAAACAAAGTAGCATTTTAAAATGAATTTTTAATTATCCATCTCAACCAAAGGAATTACAACATAACTAATGTGTCTAGTGGGATAAAAGGAATTCTGTTAAAAGGATAAGGAGTTTTTGAGCTCACATCTCTTTAAGTTGATTTTTCAACCGTTTAACTATTTGCCTTGTAGGTTTGCTAAATCATCTTTTACTTGCTTTAAAATATACATTTACCTGGATAGTTAACAAACCTTTCTAAACCAAAATGTCTGATGTGATCACAGTAACTTATCATTATCCTTGTTGTTCCTTGTATCTGTAGCATTTTGTAATTTTCAAAGCAAATTGCAAAGTATTTTCATAAATAAATGCCCCATTATTTAAATCTCTAAAGGTCAGATTTTTGATAGCACCTGCAATCTGAAATATAGTCATAAACCTGAAACAATATATTACCAAGTACTAAGTTAAACACTTTAAGTATCATTTAACCCTCAAAGCAACCCTATAAATTAGTAGTAGTATCTTCATTTTACAGATGAAGAAACTAAGACTGACAGGTTAAATTAACTTCTCAAAGTCACAGAGCCTGTAAGGGGATAGCAGTTAAAGGGGAAAATAAAGAAGAAAAAGAGAAGGAAAGAAGTAAAAAATATATAACATGCTAAACATTCTAATGCCATTTAACAAAGAGGGAAGCAGTAGTATACATTAAACCTGCCTATCTTGATGGTCATCATTAAGAGAGTGGTCAATAAAGTTTATGAAGGCAGGGAAACTTAGTTTAGTAAACTATCCCCAACAAAAAAATCGTTTACATTTTTGGCATTTGAAAGGTGTTTTGATTCAGAAAACCGAGGTAGTAATTTAGAAAAGACTGTGGAACTTGGTCATTCCTTTTTGTATTACAGAACTAGACTGCACGTTATGGCAGAGATTCCTTGAGATATGTGAGTTAAAGATTCCTTGAGGGCGGTTTACCAAGCTCATGTGACACCCTTCTGACCTGCTGGTCCCCTATGTACAGTAATCTTTTAGGAATAACCACGCTAGAGCTTATCATATAGAATTGTTAGGGAAACAAATTTGATTTTTTTTAAGGCAAGGTCTCACTTTATCATCTGGGCTGGAGTGCAGTGGTGCAATCACTGCTCACTGCAGCCTCAAACTCCTAGGCTCGGGTGATTCTCCTGTCTCAACCTCCCAAACAGCTGGGACTACAGGGACACACCACTATGCCCAGCTAATTTTTTTATTTTTCATAGAGACGGTGTCTCACCATGTTGCCCAGGCCGGTTTTGAACTCCTGGGCTCAAGCAATCCTCCCGCCTTAGCCTCCCAAAGTGCTGGGATTACCAGCATGAGTCACCATGCCCGGCCACAGATTTCTCCTTGTTCATAAAGATAGATCTTAACTTTAAGATACCATATGAACAGTTTTAAAAGGTAAGAAATTAATATAGTGAGATAACTAAGAACATGAAGCTGGGAATTAGAGTAGGGTACAAATCCCAGCTCATCCACTTTGTAGCTTTGTGACTTTGGAAAGATATTAATCTGTTAGTTTTAGTGTCCTCATTAGTAAAAGAGGGATACAACTACTATCTCCTAAGTTTGCTTTGAGTATATAAATATTTCGTATATACAGTTGATCCTCGAACAACATGCAAGTTAGGGGCACTGACCCTGCCCTCCCCTGTGCATATAAAAATCTGCATATAACTTTTGACTCCCTAAAAACTTAACTACTGTAATTGTGTACTGTTGACCAGAAGCCTTACTGATAACATAGTCAATTAACACATATTTTGTATAGGTATTGTATACTGTATTCTTACAATAAAGTAAGCTAGAGGAAAGAATATGTTATTTAAAAAATCATAAGAGAAAGTATATTTACTGTTTATTAAGTGGAAGTGGATCATCAGAAAGGTCTATCTTTGTTATCTTCACATTGAGTAGGCTGACGAGGAAGAGTTAGTCTTGCTGTCTCAGGTGGCAGAGGCAGAAGAGGCGGAGAAGGTGGTAGGGGAAGCAAGAAAGGCAGGTACACTCAGTGTAACTTCCGTAGAAAAAAAATCTGCCTATAAGTGGACCCACGCAGTTCAAACCTATGTTGTTCAAGAGTTAACTGTACTTGGTAAATAGTAAACAACCATGAATGTTCATTAACTTTTAAGCTAATACTATTAGTATTTTTTATTTAATAGTTTCTAAAAAGTACACTACTATAAACATTGTCCTATTAAGTTGTGGGAAGTAGAATCTCCTAATAATTTTAAGCCATCATATTCTTCTGACAATAGCCATGCCATTTTGTGTTCCCAGGGCCAAGGAGAAGACAGAAACCTGTTTGGCTTGAGGAATGTTATGAAATTGTTTTGGTATCACAATATATGCCATCATCATTGGAGTAATTAATGTGATGTTTCAACTCCAATTCTTAAAGGAGTAACTTTCCCAAAAGTTTAACTAGGTTGATTTCTACATTGAGAATTGTTTGCATTTCCCTTCTGGTTCAGCCAGTTAATACCATCACCTTAATAGCCCATCTTTCATACCAAGTAGCAGAAGTGTTTTTAGGAGAGATGAGAGAAATGAGCTGCAAGTACCTATTTTATTTTCATTTTATTAATTCGTTAGATATTTACTAAGTTCATTCTTTTCTTCGGGTGATACACACTGGGTATCATTGACAAATAAATGTGTTATCTGTTCTTATTAATCTAAAAATTGAGGGAGTTGTATACAAAGGTGTGTATCCTTGATGATATCTAGTGGTATTATGCACATCTGGCCGCTCAACATTTGAAAGCCACCATTTGAATCAAGTTCTGTATACTTTCTTGGCACTGCTTAGGAGTACTGCTAAGAACTTTAGTGCCTTTTCTTATGTCTAACAATAGATAAAAATAAAACTTATGGACATTGAAGGAGTATGTTTAATTTTGTTTTTCCAAAATAAATAGAGCTTTTAACTTTTGTGCTTTTCTACTCTGGTAAACCTATGTGGTCTCTTTAAACAAGCATTGCATTAGGAAACCTGGGTTCTGATCTCCGCAATGTTAATGATTGTTAGTTTGGAAAATCAACCTTCCTGAGCTTCCCTTTCATGATTTGTAAAATGGAGATTAAACAATCTGTTGTGCCTATTTTTCAAGATTCTTGTGAAGATTAAATAAAAATGTGAAGTGTAAACTGAAAGTCTGGAAAGAAATTTAAGACATGAATAATTTAGTGAGGAAATCCTACTCACTCGATAGGTAGGAAGTAGTAGATCCTAGAAATATTGGTGTTTACACGCTGTACGAATTAGATAGAGTGGCTTAATACTAGTTTCTAAAGGTGTTTGTATTTCTTCCTATTGAAGGAGGAGTAGAAGCAGGGCAATATGTGCATCAGCTTGTTAGAATTTGTGTCTTTGTTTGTTTTTAGAATATTTCAACTATTAAAAGATAACATTGCTTTGGCTACTTTTGTGCTAAGAATAACTAAATAATTATATATGTTCTTAGAAATACTCTTAAAAAATAGAATGTAAAATCTACAGATGATCTTATTTAACTTCACATTGTAGGTTTGTATACTGATTAGTTTTAACTTTTTTATATTTATGGATTTAACATGGATTCATTTTTAAAGACATATAGGGAAAATTCTATTGAAAATTGACATTTGCTTAAATCATAGCAATAAATGAGAAAAATGTCACATAATTTTAACATTAATTTTTATGCGACGTGTAGAAAATCTGAAGGATTTAATTTCTCTTGTTTCTGTATGATTTCAGTCTGAATCTAAACTTTATAATGGCTCAGAGAAGGACAGTTCAACTTCAAGCAAACTCACAAAAAAAGAATCTCTTAAGGTTAGTTTCCAGTTGTTTCTGAAAGGTAATTTACATTGTGCTTTGCATGTGTGTTTGGAAGTAGACTAATAGGATAAATATATATGTGTGTTCCTAAAGAAAGAAAAAACATCCAGTGGTACAGACAGGCAGGCACACATAGAAAATGTTAATATTTGTATGGTACACTGTGGTCAACTGATAAGATTGATTGATGACTGTCACAGAGCAGACTGCTTTAGGCCTCAAATGGCAACTGCAGAGGCTGAGGATGTGTTATCTCTGTACAGCTGTATCCAAACTAGGTATATTATCACTATGTTGTGGAACTCCTAATGGGAACTCTGGCACCCATTGAAATTAGAGATTGCTAACTCCTGGGTCATGGCCTGAACTTGACCTGCATAATGTTTTAAAATTTTGACCCAACAGTTAATTAAAAGTCCAGATTTCCAATTTCTCTGAGAAATATGTAGCACTGGGCTTACCTTCCTGAGTGGCCATAGAATCTGGAGCTTAAGAAACACATGCTTTCCAACTGGCTCTGGTTCCTAACTAGTCTATTTTACCATTTGTGTTCCATGCCTGGTCCTATATATATTTGTATTTGCATCCCATATTAAATCAGATAGGTTAATAAAGACCAAAATCTAAAGTTTTGAGGGTATAGAATTATTAAAATTGTATTATGTCTAGTCTGTTTATCATTAAATGCAACTTTTCTGGTGGAAGATTTTGTTAGTTTTTAAAAATGTAGTCACTAATAGGTTATCATCACTCTTTTCCCATCCAAATTATAACAACAAAGCAACAATAAGACCTCATTATTCACTGCTAATTCCTCAAATTATCAGAATTAACTTATGAAGGTGAAACTTTCATATTTTGGATAAATTAATTTTATAGTTATGGTTTCTTAATTATTTATAACTTACATATTAGTATTGGGAAAGAGAGCAAAACTTCCAATTGCAAACAGTTGTGGCATTCTTTGTTATTTGAAAAAATTGGTAACAGAGAAGGTTTCTATCAGTAAGAGAATATATTAATAAATATTATAGAAGCAGTATAGGCCAGTGGTTAAAAAAATAGCTTTGGGAGCTAGTTTGCCCCTGTTTGAATCCTGACCCTACAATTTACTAAATGTGTGATTCTGAGCAGGTTACTGTCTCTGCCTCAGTTTTCGTGTCTGTAAAATAAGGATAATAATACTTCTACTTCACAAGGTTGTTGTGAGGATTAAATGACGTAATGACAATACAAGTAAAGTGCTTAGAACTGTGGCTGGTTCACAGAATGCCCTCAGGGTTAGCTCTCTTATTATTTTAATTTGCAGTTGGAATCCTATGTAACATTTAAAATAATGAGAATGATACAGACATGAATACTCTTCAAAAAATGTTTATTGGGGGACCTTTTTGCATGCTGAACACAACATCTACATGTTTCTATAGGTTGTTACTTAGAAAAGGTCTGAAAAGACAGTGTTTTCCAGAAGGTTAACAGTCATCAATTCAGAGGATTGGAATAGGTTGGGGGTATAATAAAAATGGGTTCTAGCTTTATGTTTGAAATTTTTATTGTGAGGCTGTGTTTATGCATTGTGTAATTAAAAAGAGGTAAAATTGGCCAGGTGTGGTGGCTCACGCCTGTAATCCCAGCACTTTGAGAGGCGGGCGGATCACTTGAGGCCAGGAGTTCAAGACTATTCTGGCCAACATAGTGAAACCCCATCTCTACAAAAAATACAAAACTTAGCCAGGCATGGTGGCATATGCCTGTAATCCTAGCTGCTTGGGAGGCTGAGGCACAAGAATTGCGTTGACCCAGGAGGCGGAGGTTGTAGTGAGCTGAGATTCCGCCACTGCACTCCAGCCTGGGTTACAGAATGAGACTGTCTCAAAAAAAAAAAAAAAAGGTAAAATTATTTAAAAGATACATAGAACTGGACTAGTGATCAGAAAAACTAGATTCTAACCTTGGTTGTCTAAGACTAACTCCTGCTCAAAAAAAAAAAATACAGTATTTTTATTGTAAGATTCTGGAATTCTACAGCGGTTTAGACTTTTCTACTCCACCATTATAGTATGAAATTCTAAACCTCTTTAGAATACTAGATTAGGATAAAAGACAGTGTGGTGATTCCACAAAGACCTAAAGACAGAACTACCATTCGACCTAGCAATCCCATTACTGGGTATATAACCTAGGGAATGTAATCATTCTGTTATAAAGACACATGCATGTATATGTTCATTGCAGCACTGTTCACAATAGCAAAGACATGGAATCAACCTAAATGCCCATCAATGAGAGACTGGATAAAGAAAACGTGGTACACCATGGAATACTATGTGGCCATAATAAAGAATGACATCATGTCTTTTACAAAGATATGGATGGAGCTGGAGGGCATTATCCTTAGCAGACTAACTCAGAAACCAATACTGCATGTTCTCACTTAGAAGTGGAAGCAAAATGATGAGAACACATGGACACACAGAGGGACACAACACACACTGGAGCCTTTCAGAGGGTGAGGGTGGGAGGAGGGAGAGGATCAGGAAAAGTAACTAATGGGTACTAGGCTTAATACCTGAATGATAAAATATGTACAACAAAACCCCATGACACAGGTTTACCTATATAACAAACCTGCATTTGTACCCCTGAACTTAAAATAAATTGCTCATTTCTGTTGAGTTTTTATCTTTTCTATTATTTCTATAAAATAGGTACAAAAGAAAAATTACCGAGAAGAAAAGAAAAGAGCCACAAAGGAGCTGCTCAGTACAATCACAGATCCTTCTGTTATTGTTATGGCTGATTGGTTAAAGGTCAGTGTGTTTTGAATCATGAATTCAGATTGCTGGATGTTTACCTACTGGAATGGAAAAGCCTGGAGTATACCTAACGCCTACAAGACAAAAACAGCTCCTAAAATGATTGTTTTTCACTGGCAAAGAAACTATTATTGTATTCCCGGAGGTTCTGTGTTCCCATCTTAATGAAGAGAAGGAATCTTAATGTCTTTCTTAACAATAGCATCAATTACATACAGTATAGTTCTTTTAAAAAAGCTTTTTGGTTTGTGTGATATGTTGTCTAATACAATATGCTGTAAAAAATACATTGCTTGCTATTCCAATTATTGTTAAGTATTCCATATACTTGGTATATTATTGAAA